>NT_187637.1:0-170399 GCF_000001405.40 Homo sapiens
CCCCACACTGTCCCTGTAGTTCTAGTGAGTTTCCCAGACTCTGATGTCTCAATTTCATTCAGTCACTTTCCTCCAGATACATCTACCCATTCCTACTGCATCTTAGTATCCTGAGCCTTGGGGGCAGTTTCTGTGCCAAGTGGAAATGTGGAAATGAGATATTACGAAGAAAAATCTTTGCCCACCTAGACAGGGATCTGATGTTTTCCAAGATGACACATGATTACATGTTGAAATGATAATATTTTGAGTCTACTTGTATAATAAAATAATATTTTGGATCTATTAGGTTAATATTTTGGGTCTGTTGGGTTAATAATATTTTGGGTCCATTGGGTTAACTTAAATTAATTTTATCTGTTTCTTGTTAGCTTTTTAATTTGGATACTAGCAAGTTTGAAAGAATGCATGTGGTTTGCATTATGTTTCTATAGGACAGAACTTACCTGTAGATGTAAGGGAGTCACAACAAAATTACAAGCATTGTTTTTGGTGGAAATGAGAAAAATGATTACAAATTTACATGGAAAAGCAAATAGCCAATAATAATAATAATGGCAATCTTAAAGAGGAAGGAGAAATTAGAGGATTCAGGCTGCCAAATTTTAAGGGGTTCTATAAGGCCACATAAAGTGCAGCATCCTCATGAGAGTGGACACAGAGAGCCACTGAGCAGAAAAGAGTGTGTAAAATACATCTGTGTACACACAGTCCTTTTATAGTTGACAGAGGCTGCCATGCGGATTAAGGTGGAATAGAATGTCTTCTCAGTAAATAACATTGGACCAGAGGGTTACAAGCAGGAAAAAATAAATCTAAGCTTATTTTCACACCATAAAAACACTGCTAATTTTTTATCTTATTATCATACATTTTGATGATTTATTTATAAAATTGATGAATGAAAATTATATACAGTTGTCCTTCACTATTCATGGGTGATTGGTTCCAGGAAACCCCCCTCCCTACCAGACACCAAAATCTGCAGATGCTCAAGCCTGTTGCATGAAATGGCACAGCGTTTGCATATAACCCATGCACATCCTCCTGTATACATGAAATCATCTCTAGATTACTTATAATTCCTGATACAGCCTACACACCACCTCACTTGTGTCCACACAATATAGTATTTTTGCTTTTTGGAACTTTGTGGATTTTTTCTCTGAATATTTTTGATTTATATTTGGTTCAATAAACACCTGTAAACCCCACAGATATGGAGGAGCGACTGTATATTTATAGTATGAAAGATGATGTGTTGACATGTGTCCCTGTGGAGATGAGACTAACAAGGCCTATGACTCTACAAATGTTTCATCTTGGAATGACTCTGCCAGCTTTCCAGGTCTGCAGAGAGTAAGAATATCACTTGTTCATGTGATTCACGATCCTTGGAACCTCCTATGTGCTGCATCTTTGGATGGAAATTGGAGTCCCAGAGACAAATGAGGCTCCACCCTGCTTCCAGAAGCTCAGAGTCCAGGGCTGAGAACCCAGTAGAGAACATATCAGGTTATATGGACATAGTAATGATAACACTGGAAACTTTTGGCGAATAAAGAGTCACATTATCGAAACCATGAGGGCAGACATGTTTATTTGAAGAGGAGAGAGCTACACTGAAGTTATAAAAAAAATTTATAAATTTTACTGATGACAGAAGGCTGAAAGATAGTCTGAGGGGAGGTGGAACAGCATGAGGGAAGGTGGAACAGCAAGTGTGTAAGTGCCGTGTTAAGAGGGAGCCTCTTGTATGTTTGGAATTGTGAGTTCCTCAGTGTGATTGCAGCCTCAAGTAGGACTAGGAAGTAAGCCAGTTAGGTTGGAGAGGTGGGCAGGGGTCAAGTGAAATAGATACTTGTGGGCTAAGCAAAGGAGTGTGTTTTCTCTGCAGCAGGCAGTGGCGACCTTAGGCATTTGTAAGCAAGAGAGAGGCATGTTCAGATTCGTGGTGTGAGGAAGAGCGATCCCCTAAGATGCAGACTGATGCCTTCAGATTCCAGCTGCTGGTTCATTGGATCTGGCAACCTGGTTTTGAGACAGGGCTGTTGTCTCCCTAGAAAACCCCCTCAAGACCTGACTGTGGTGCTCGTGGGCAGGAGACAACTTTGGATCTGGGCTCAGCATTTGGAAGTTCCGTGTACACGCTGGTATCTGTTAGGGGTGTCTTGGGCCTCTGAGAAGGGCGACTGATTTTTCTCTGTATGAAAACGCAGTGATCCAACTGTGCGTACGTCACCTCCTGAGGGTCTTGTTCATCAGAGTCCTGGAGAGAGGGAAATGCTGAGTGAGGGAGGGTGCTCACATTTTTCAGGACTATTAGGGATAAGACTGTATCCGTGAGGCTGGGCCGAGGAGGACCTACCTGCCTATTCACTGTTCTGTCCCCCGCAGGCTCTTGGTCCATTACAGCAGCATCTGTAGGAGACGGAAGTCATCAAAACCGCTTGGAGGGCCCTTCTGGGTCCTCATTTCATGGGCAGACACCAACCCACAGGGGGAGGCTGTAGGTGCCTGAGGCTCTTCAGCTGCCAACATCCAGACTCAGACATTCTATCTCTCTGAGTTCAAGACCCCATCCCATGAAGTGCTCTCAATTGGCATCCCATTGATTCTGTCTCCCACTTTCTGCCTGTCATGGAAGCTTCTGGATGTCAGTGGCTGCAGGGGATGTGAGGATACAGTTCAGAACCAGGCAATGGTCTGTGAGCTGAAGGCAGGGGCAGGTTGTCTGGTGCTCTCTCTAGAAAGCCCTGCCTCTGTGGCTCCTCCCTTGGGCCAGGGACCATCCTGCCAGTGAGGAACACACACCCGCGTGCTCCCATCCTGCTTCCCCACATGGCCCTGAGCTCTCTGGCCTCTGCTTCGTGAGACTTACTCTTTTTGTTGGAGCACCAGCGATAAAGGAGAAAGAAGAGGAGGAGGATGAAGAGGAAGATGACCACTGAGGTCCCAATCAGAACATGCAGGTGTCTGCAGATACCTGGAGGAAGATGGGAATCCAATAAGAAGCTAATCATAGCAGTTCCTCTTTATGGATTGTCTCATTTCTTGATTGACAGGTAACCACATGGAACATCTCCTTAGGACAAGCAGCCTGATGGCGGGAGACCCAGCTTTCTCCTGCTTTCTCAGTTACAGCTCTCATAGAAACCATAGAACATGCTGAGGATACAGCTGCTTTAGTTTAGATGTTTGACCCTTTGAAACCTCACACTGAAATATTGAAATTTAACCCCCAGTGTGGAAGTTTGGGCCTATGGGAAGGTGTTTGAGTCATGGAGGTGGATCCATCATGAATAGATTAATGCTGCCCCACATGATGGGGTTAGCAAGTTCCCCCTCTATTAGTTCCCGGAGGGCTGGTTGTTAAAAAGAGCTTGGAAGCTCCATCGCTCGCCCTCCCCCTTGCTCCCTCTCTTGCCATGTGATCTCTGTGGTCTCTGCACAGACAGACCCTCCTTCCCTTCTGCCAGAGTGGGAGCAGCCTGAGGCCGTCACAGGAAACAGATGCTGGTGCCATGCTTCCAGTACAGCCTGCAGAACTGTGAGGCAAACAAATCTGTTTTCTCTAGAAGTTGCCCAGGCTCTGGGATGCAAGGCTGGTTCAATATATGCAAATCAATAAATGTAATCCATCATATAAACAGAACCAAAGACAAAAACCGGACGACTATCTCAATAGATGCAGAAAAGGCCTTTGACAAAATTCAACAACGCTTCATGCTAAAAACTCTCAATAAATTAGGCATTGATGGGACGTATCTCAAAATAATAAGAGCCATCTATAACAAACCCACAGCCAGTATCATACTGAATGGGCAAAAACTGGAAGCATTCCCTTTGAAAACTGGCACAAGACAGGGATGCCCTCTTTCACCACTCCTATTCAACATAGTGTTGGAAGTTCTGGCCAGGGCAATTAGGCAGGAGAAGGAAATAAAGGGTATTCAATTAGGAAAAGAGGAAGTCAAATTGTCCCTGTTTGCAGATGACATGATTGTATATATAGAAAACCCCATTGTCTCAGCCCAAAATCTCCTTAAGCTGATAAGCAGCTTCTACAAAGTCTCAGGATACAGAATCAATGTACAAAAATCACAAGCATTCTTATACACCAATAACAGACAAACAGAGAGCCAAATCATGAGTGAACTCCCATTCACAATTGCTTCAAAGAGAATAAAATACCTAGGAATCCAACTTACAAGGGATATGAAGGACCTCTTCAAGGAGAACTACAAACCACTGCTCAATGAAATAAAAGAGGATACAAACAAATGGAAGAACATTCCATGCTCATGGGTAGGAAGAATCAAGATCGTGAAAATGGCCATACTGCCCAAGGTAATTTATAGATTCAATGCCATCCCCATCAAGCTACCAATGACTTTCTTCACAGAATTGGAAAAAACTACCTTAAAGTTCATATGGAATCAAAAAAGAGCCTGCATTGCCAAGTCAATCCTAAGCCAAAAGAACAAAGCTGGAGGCATCATGCTGCCTGACTTCAAACTATACTACAAGGCTACAGTAACCAAAACAGCATGGTACTGGTACCAAAACAGAGATATAGATCAATGGAACAGAATAGAGCCCTCAGAAATAATGCCACATATCTACAACTATGTGATCTTTGACAAACCTGAGAAAAACAAGCAATGGGGAAAGGATTCCCTATTTAATAAATGGTGCTGGGAAAACTGGCTAGCCATAGGTAGAAAGCTGAAACTGGATCCCTTCCTTACACCTTATACAAAAATTAATTTGAGATGGATTAAAGACTTAAACGTTAGACCTAAAACCATAAAAACCCTAGAAGAAAACCTAGGCATTACCATTCAGGACATAGGCATGGACAAGGACTTCATGTCTAAAACACCAAAAGCAACGGCAACAAAAGCCAAAATTGACAAACGGGATCTAATTAAACTAAAGAGCTTCTGCACAGCAAAAGAAACTACCATCAGAGTGAACAGACAACCTACAAAATGGGAGAAAATTTTCGCAACCTACTCATCTGACAAAGGGCTAATATCCAGAATCTACAATGAACTCAAACAAATTTACAAGAAAAAAACAAACAATCCTATCAAAAAGTGGGCAAAGGACATGAACAGACACTTCTCAAAAGAAGACATTTATGCAGCCAAAAAACACATGAAAAAATGCTCACCATGACTGGCCATCAGAGAAATGCAAATCAAAACCACAATGAGATACCATCTCACACCAGTTAGAATGGCGATCATTAAAAAGTCGGGAAACAACAGGTGCTGGAGAGGATGTGGAGAAATAGGAACACTTTTACACTGTTGGTGGGACTGTAAACTAGTTCAACCATTGTGGAAGTCAGTGTGGCGATTCCTCAGGGATCTAGAGCTTGAAATACCATTTGACCCAGCCATCCCATTACTGGGTATAAACCCAAAGGACTATAAATCATGCTGCTATAAAGACACATGGACACGTATGTTTATTGTGGCACTATTCACAATAGCAAAGACTTGGAACCAACCCAAATGTCCAACAATGATAGACTGGATGAAGAAAATGTGGCACATATACACCATGGAATACTATGCAGCCATAAAAAATGATGAGTTCATGTCCTTTGCAGGGACATGGATGAAATTGGAAATCATCATTCTCAGTAGACTATCACAAGGACAAAAATCCAAACACCGCATGTTCTCACTTATAGGTGGGAATTGAACAATGAGAACACATGGACACAGGAAGGGGAACATCACACTCTGGGGACTGTTGTGGGGTGGGGGGAGGGGGGAGGGATAGCATTAGGAGATATACCTAATGCTAAATGACGAGTTGATGGGTGCAGCACACCAGCATGGCACATGTATACATATGTAACTAACCTGCACATTGTGCACATGTACCCTAAAACTTAAAGTATAATAATAATAAAAATTTTAAAAAAAAGCTCATCAGAAGCACTATACAAAAAAAAAAAAAAAAAAAAAAAGAAGTAACCCAGGCTCAAGTGTTCTTTTATAGCAACAAAAATGGACTAAGACAGCAACGTCCTGAGATCAGGAGGAACGTCTCAGAACAGCCTGTGCTGTCTTCCTGTTCTTCCTGGAGGAGGACGTCATGCAGTGCTTTAGCTGAGTGCTTCCTGTGGCTTCAGGGTACAAAACCCAGGCTGGGCTATTTTCTGGCTTCCCCCAGATACACTGCAAATGAGGTGACTCCATATGTCCCGAGCAGCTTTTCTGAGCCTTGAGGGACTGGCTCACGTTGAAATGTAGGCTTCTGTTGTCACTCGCTGCTTATCTGTTAGTAATGAACCTGCCTATGTAACGTATTCTCTGTGTGTTCTGTCTCCCTGGAGTGACGGTGAGTGATAGAAATTGGCATAGGCCCAGGTGCAGTACAGCAGGTGTTTAGAGTCTTCTCTGGAAAGACTGGACTGGGATTGATACACAGTGAATGTGCTTTACAGTTTCTACATCCACAACCCTCTTGACTCAAATTACATTCTCCAAGAAAAGGACACAAAAGTGAAATCAAGATCAAAAAAGCAAAGTAGAATTCTCTTATGTCAAACAGCCAGGAAATAATGATGAAGCCCATGTGAAACGTGCTACTCTTTGTGATCTCGCGAGACACATGTTAGGCTGCTGTTCCACCTGAGAGGCTGGGGGAAAGACCACCCCCTCCACCATCTATTGCTTCAAAACCACCTGTCCTCCTGTGAATTAGTAGGAAAGGGGAGCAGGAGCTAGTGCTGGTGCTGATCTCTGATTCCAAGATCTGAACTCACTCCAAGGAGTATTAGCGTTTACCTCCCCATGATCTATCTGTATCTCCACAGGTGATTGGAAGTAGGGGTGAGGTGGGGGATTTGGGTGAGGGGGAAAGTTTCTTGTGATGAACAGAGCACTTTCCCTATTTCAGGGCCTGTGCTGGTGGGTTCAGGGGGCTTTCATATTTTCCATATGATCTCATGTTCACAGAAAGCCAAATATGGAAGAGGTTTTAGGCTGATTTTCTAATGGATAAGATAAAGGATCAAAGAAGTAATTATAGAGGAATAGAAAAATGATGATTGGAATTCAGGTGCCTGCATCATTTGTGTATATTATTATATTTATGTATTTTTTATTTTTATTTTTTGAGACAGAGTATCCCTGTGTAGCCCAGGCTGGTGTGCAGTGATGCGATCTCCACTCACTGCAACCTCTGCCTCCAGGGCTGAAGTCATTCTCCTGCTTCCTCCTCCAGAGTAGCTGGGATTACAGTCATGCACCACCATCATGCCTGTTTAATTTTTGTATTTTTAGTAGAGATAGGGTTTCTCCATGTTGGCCAGGCTGGTCTCGAACTCCTGACTTCATGTGATCCACCCGCGTTGGCCTCCTGAAGTGCTGGGTTATAGGCGTGAGCCACCGTTCACAGCCTTGTATATTATGCTATACTAGGTCCCTTCATTTGCACCACCCCTCATCTAGCTCTCCCTCCTCTGCCAGGTATTGATTTAGATGCAGGAGAAATAAATCTCAGAAATAAGTTAGTGAAGCGAGGATTAAACTACCAGGAAAAATTAAACCCAGCAAGCCTTTCCAGCCAATGATTCTACCTCACAAACATATCTTATATCCATCTACTTCATTCATTTAGTGTCTAAATCAGCACCACATTTCACCAGTGGGGCGGCAATTGCCTTTTCCACGGTCTCCTAGATTCCAGTTATGCAACTGAGCCTCCCTTATTTTCATGTCAGTCATATTAATCATGTAGGGATTCCTGGTTACCTCGAGGTGAATCCAATGGCTGTGAGTGTCAAACACACGCTCCTTGTTGCTCCTTAGTTTCCTGTGTACCCAGTGTGCTCTCCGTCTCTCTACAGTCATCTTGTCATTCTCCCCACCTCATTCCCAGCATTTCAGGCAGAGCCTCTTCCTTCCACATCAGATTGTTTTCACCTTTGTGCCTTCACGGCTGACAGCTGTGTGTGCAAAATCCTTCCGCCAATCTTTCAGGGGTTCAATCCGTGTTTTTCATTAATGTCACAAATATCTGATTAGTGAGAACTTCTCTGTCACCTGAAATAATACTCTCAGCATTATCTATTATTGATTTGAAAATTTGGCTTGGCCCCGTGGCTCATGCCTCTTATCCCAGCGTGTTGGGAGGCAGAGGCTATTGGATCACCTGAGGTTGGGAATTTGAGACCAGCCTGGCCAACATGGTGAAACATCCTCTCTACAGAAAATATGCAAAAAGAGTTAGCCGGGCGTGGTGGTTGTGGTCTGTAATCCCAGCTACTGGAGAGGCTGAGGGAGGAGATCAGTTCAGCCCAGGAGGTGGAGGTTGCAGTGAGCCGAGATCATGCCACCGCACTCTAGCCTGGACGACAGAGCAAGGCTCCGTCTCAATAAACAAGTAGGTAAATACATAAATAAATAGATTTCATGCACAGATGCTTCTCAATAGATCATTCATTTATTGGTCCCCTTGTGCCTACATTTTCTGCCCTCCCATTTAACCATCTGCAAGATCAGTGTCCCAAGAACAGAGGCCAAATGCATCTTGTTCACTGTTTGTGGAAGGCAGGAGAATGTTGTCCCACCCCAAAAATGTCCATGTCCTAGCCTCCATAGCTTGTGAATATGTTATTTTACATGAAAGGAGGAATGAAGATTGCAGATGGAATTATGGTTGCTAGTCAGCTGAACTTAAAAGGAGGGTATCCTGGATGATTTCCGGGAGATTATGATGGATTTTCATCTTGGTGAACCCAATAGAATCCCCAAGTTTTCAAAAGAAGGGCAAGAAGGGAGAGCAGCATTCAGAGAAAGAGGTGTGGTAAGGAAGAAGGGTCTGAGTGATGCCATGTGAGATGTGACCAGTCTTTGTGGGCTTTGAGGAAGGAGGAAGGGTACCAGGAGCCAAGGAACATGGGAGCCTCTAGAAGCTGAGAAAAGTGAGAAGCAGATTCTTGCCTGGAACCCTCAGAGGGAAGGCAGCCTTGCTGTCACCTTGATTTTAGCCCAGTGACATGCACGTCATGCTTTGAGCTACAGCACTGTAAGATAATTAAATAACCGTTTTGTTTTCACACACGAATCTTGTGGAAATTTGTTATGGCAACAATAGGAAAAGCTTCCACACTGCACAGCCTGAGCATGGGGCTGTGGCTGAATGAGTCACTGAGTCGAAGTGTGCGTGCATGAGCTCTGTTCTCTGTTACGGCAAGGCTCTTGCTCTGCTGAGTCAGCCAGGGTTGCCTGATGACCAACAGTAATTCATTCCTTGGCAAGTGGAACTTCTCTAAAACACCCACCCTCATCAGATGTTCCCTTCCCTTCCCTCTCTCAAGCCCCCGGGAATTTATCCTCCAGTTAGGAATGCAGGCAGAAAAAACACTGCATTTTTCCTGAGAAGGATGTCAGATTGGCAATTATTCTTCTAGCTTGTAGGAGGTCTCACCTGCAGGAAATTAAAGGTAAAGAGACTTCGCTGAGCCCTTTGGTGGCCCTAGATCCCTTTCACTGTTGGAGTGTCTGGAGTTCAGAGATGGTGGAAGACAGGCCCTCATTCACAGAGCTGGGAGGTTTGAGCCAACACTTGCATCCAAGGCTTCCACCTCCCCAGGTTTCCAAAAGCAGAGATAAGAGGGGTCCTTTACTCACCAGATTTGGAGCTTGGTTCTGTGGGTGAAGGCCAACTACTTGAAGGGTTTCCTAGAACACGGGACAGGAGAGATGTGAGGAAATGAGGGTGCTTGTCCTCTACTCAATGGAAATCTTTGAGGTTGGTTCATGGCCAACACTCTGTTATCTAATGTTGGACCCTGGGAGTCTTGGGATCCTTTTCTCCATAATTTTTGTGTGCGATGCCCACTGTCTTGAGACTTGAAGGTATAAAGAGAAAACAGGAGCATCACACTACCTGACTTAGAAATATGTTACAGAGCTGTAGTAAGCAAAACAGCATGACATTGGCATAAAGAAAGGCACATAAAAAATGGAACAGAATGGAGAACACAGATATAATCCATGCATTTACATCCAATGGCTTTCTTTTGTGTGTGTGTGATAGAATCTTGCTCTGTCATGCAGGCTGGAGTGTAGAGGTGCAATCTCAGCTCAATGCAACCTCCACTTCCTGGATTCAAGAAATTCTCTTGCTTCAAACTCCTGAGTAGTGGTATTACAGGCACTGATCACCATGCTCAGCTAATTTTTGTATTTTTAGTAGAGACGAGGTTTCACTCTGTTGGCCAGCCTGGTCTTGAACTCCTGGCTTTAGGTGATCCACCCGCCTCGGCCTCCCAAAGTGCTGGAATTGCAGGTGTGAGCCACCATACCCAGCCCATTTAATGGACTTTGACAAAGGTGCCGAGAACTTACAATCAGGAAAGGACAGTCTTCAATAAATGGTGTGGGGAAAACTGGATATCTACATGCAGAGGAATAAAACTGCATCTATACCTGTCACCTTACACAAAAATCAAATGAAAATGGATTAAAAACATGAGTCTAAGGCCTGAACCTATGAAACATGTAGAAGAAAATAATGGGGAAGACATTTGTCTGACGAAAGACATTTTGTTTAAAACCTTCAAAACACAAGTAATCAAAGCAAAAAATAGACCATTAGGATTACATCAAACCAAGCAACTTCTGCACCACCAAAGATAAACCAACAAAGTGAAGAGACAACCCACAAAATAGGAGCAAATATTTGCAAACTATTCATCTGAGATGGGATTAATAACTGGAAATATAAGAAGCTCAAACAACTCAATAAAACAATTTAATTAAAAAACGAGCAAAAGACATGAGGAGACATTTCTCCACAAACAAAACATAGAAATGGCGATCACGTATATGAAAAAGTGCTCAGCATCACTCATCATCACAGAAATGTAAATTACAATCGCGATGAGTTTTCATCTCATCCCATTAAAATGCCTTTTAGGCCGGTGGCTCACGCCTGTAATTCCAGCACTTTGGGAGGCGGAGGTGGGCGGATCACCTGAGGTCGGGAGACCAGCCTGACCAACATGGAGAAACTCCCTCTCTACTAAACATACAAAAATTAGCTAGGCGTGGTGGCACATGCCTGTAATCCCAGCTACTTTGGAGGCTGAGGCAGGAGAATCAGTTGAACGCGGGAGGCAGAGGTTGCAGTGAGCCGAGATCACACCCTTGCACTCCAGCCTGGGCGACTATGAGTGAAACTCCATCTCAACATAAATAAATAAATAAATAAAGTAAAGTAAAATGGCTTTTATCTGCAAGACAGGCAAAACAAATGCTGGCAAGATGGTAGAGAAAGGAGAACCCTGGTACCCTGTTGGTAGGAATGTAAATTAGTACAACTATTATGGAGAAAAGTATGGAAAATCTTTAAAAAACTAAAAGGAGGCTGGGCATAGTGGCTTATGCCTGTAACTTCAGCACTTTGGGAAACCGAGGCAGGCACCTCACTTGAGGTCAGGAGTTTGAGAGCAGCCTGCCCAAAATTGGGATATCCCGTCTGTGCTAAAAAATACAAGAATTAGTCAGGCATGGTGGCGTGCACCTGTAATCACAGCTATTAGGGAGGCTGAGTCAGGACAATCGTTTGAACCTAGGAAGCAGAGGTTGCAATGAGCCAAGATCGCACCACTTTGACTCCAGCTTGGACTAAGGAGGGAAACTCTTTCTCAAAAAAGAAAAAAAAAAAAAGAGAACTTTCATAGTGTCCAGCAATTTCACTACTGGGTTTATATCCAAAGGAAAGGACATCAGTGTATCGAAGTGATATCTGCACTCATATGACTGTTCCAGCACTGTTCACAGTAGCCAAGATGTGGAGTCAACCTACCTGCCTATCAGTGGGTGAATGGATAGAGAACTGTAGTACACACACACGGTGGAGACTACTCATCCATAGAAACAATAACATCCTGTCATTTGCAGCCACATGGATGGAACTGGAGGTCATTACAAAGATTCCCATTTCTCACCACATGCAGGAGATAAAAGGTGGATCTCATGAAGGTAGAGAATAGAATGGTGGATACCAGAGGCCAGGAAGGGAAGGGTGGAAGGTAACAAAAAAAAGAATATAGATGTATTTATTTATTTAGAAACAGAGTCTCTCTCTGTCTCCCAGGCTGCAGTGCAGTGGCATGATCTCGGCTCAGTGCAACCTCTGCCTCCTGGCTTTAAGTGCTTCTCCTGCCTCAGCCTCCCAAGTAGCTAGGACTACAGGTGCATGCCGGCATGCTTGGCTAATTTTTCTTGTCTGTTTAGTAAAGATGAATTTCCCGCATGTTGGCCAGGCTGATCTCGAGTCCCTGATCTTAAATGATCCACCTTTCTTGGCCTCTCAAAGCGCCAAGATTACAACCGTGAACCACCACACCCAGCATATAAAGGTATTTATGACCACTAGATTTTACTTTTAAAAATGGTAAAGTTGGTAAATTATATAGTTACATTTAACCTCAATAAATATTTTTGAAAATGAAAAGAAAAGAGTGTAGGGGTTGCTGGTGATGACATCTCTCTGTGTGGGTGAGAGGCCAGGATGGGCTTCTGGGAAATGGGTAAGGTTGAGGGGCTGAGGGAACCTCTGATCTCCCCAAACTGAGCCCAGTCTCCCCTTCTCTGGGTCTGTCCTGACCGCTTTCTCCATCTGCCTGGGTGCCTGGAGCCCTGACCATGGGCCTCCATGCAGGCCATGCAAGAGGGTTTGGAGGTGCCCTGTCTGCCATCCTGCACCCTGACCCCCCCTCACACCCAGTCTTCGTGTTCTCTCTGCATCTGTCCATGCTTCTCCCCATCATCGGCAGGAAGCTCCTCAGCTATGGCTCTAGGATCATAAGACATGGGACAGACACGGGTTTTCCTCACCTGTGACAGAAACAAGCAGTGGGTCACTTGAGTTTGACCACACGCAGGGCAGGGCACGGAAAGAGCCGAAGCATCTGTAGGTCCCTCCGTGGGTGGCAGGGCCCAGAGGAAAGTCTGCCTGGAATGTTCTGTTGACCTTGGGCACTGCACGGAGCCTACGTTCATGGGCCTCCCCTTCCCTGGACAGATGGTAGATGTCATAGGAGCTCCAGGAGCTACAGGACAAGGTCACGTTCTCTCCTGCCTGAACCGTGGGGCCCGGCTGGGCTGAGAGAGAAGGTTTCTCATATAGACCTGGAAGGAGAAGAGGCAGTTTCCTCAGGGAGGTTCTTCCTTGTCACAGCTCCCCTCATACCTGAGCTGAGAACTCACTCCCCTGCTCTATGACCTAATGCTCTCTCTCTCTCTCACCCTCCACCCCAACTCTCTTCATGTCTATTTCCTCCTTCCGCCTTCTCTGTCTCTCTAGGTCTCTGACCTCACTTCCCCACCCCTGGGTATGCTTTCCCTTTTTGGATTGTTTTATTCTCTCTGACTCTCCTTGGATTGGTTGACTTGATCTTCCTTTTTCTATAATTCTGAGTCTCTCACTTTCTGTCTTGTTCATAACTTTCTGCATATTTCTATCTATTATCTATCTATCTATTTTGTGTCTATCTACAAATTATCTGTCATCTATATCTATGTATCATTTATCTATCAATTGTCTATCTGTCTATCCATCAATCATCTATGTATTATCTGTATCTATGTATCATCTCTCTCTCTCTCTATTACCTCTCTGTCTGCCTGTCAGTCTCTATGTATCATCTATGTATCTATATATTTATATATGTGTCTTCTATCTATCTTCATCATCATCATCATCATCATCTCTATGTATCATCTATCAATCATCATCTATGTATCTATAACCTATCCATTATCTATCATCTACCTATTTATCATCTATCTATATCTATCTATCCATCTATCATCTGTCTCTCTCCATCTCCTTGTCTTTCTCTGCCTCTCAGTCTCTCTAGTTCTATTTGGAATCTCTGCAATCCATCCCCACATCTTTATCTTTCTCTGTCTTTGTGCCCCTCCCTCAGGGTTCTGATTTTGGGGCTTTTCTCTCCTCCCTTCCAGCATTCTCTCCACTCCTCTGCCCTCTTTTCTTTCTTTTTGTGTGTCTGTGAGTCTCTCAATCCCCTTCCTCTGGCTCATTCTCTGTGTGTTTATGCCTTTGCTTTTTGAAGTCCCTGATTTATCTCTGTGTCTCTCAGTGATCCTATTATATGTAGGATTATTTGGAATATGAGCCTCAGAATCTAGTCTGGGGACACCAAGTACACACAGTATTTAGGGGTTGGTGTTCTGGGGCCATGATATCCTGGGATAATTATGGCTCCACTGCATGGAAGGCAGAGGTGTCAGAATAAACATGGCATCTGTAGATGCCACAAGGCCTGAGGCCACAGGGCCCAACTCAGGTCAGAAATATGGGTGTCCTTGGGTTCTCCTCGTAGAAGCACTTTGTGGAGACAAAACAGAAATGAAACTTCTAACCTGTGCCAGGTCTCTGAGCAAAGTCAGCATGGAAGGACACTTCTCTCTGGCACATGTCTGTCTGTCTGAGTGTCTCCTTTACCTCTTTCTCTCTTTTCTACTTCCCCGTATGGCCCCTGTGTCTGTCCTCTGTTATGACACCTGGTCTGTACTTATGTCTCCTGTTTCCCTGTCTCTGTTGGTACAGACCTCACCGAGTCAGTCTCTCTCCATAAGAATCCCACGCTTATCTTCCTCATGACCACCTGGGGGTTCCAAGTCCTGGATCATTCACTCTGTGTCCCAATGACAATGAGAAGAATGTCTGGACACTCTCACCTGTGATCACGATGTCCAGGGGGTCACTGGGAGCTGACAACTGATAGGGGGAGTGAGGAACAGAACCATAACATCTGTAGGTTCCTGCAAGGACAGGCATCAAGGGACCGATGGAGAAGTTGGCCTTGGAGACCCCATCATGGATCTGTCCAACGAGGCGTGAGGGGTCCTCAGAGATCCCCTCTCTGTGCAGAAAGAAGTGCTCAAACATGACATCTGACCAACATTGCAGGATGACTGTCTCTCCTGATTTCAGCAGGGGCCCTGGGTGGGCCAGGAGGGAAGGTTTTCTGTGGTTTCCTAGAAAGAGAAGTTGTGAGTTTAGAAGGCATCTCTCTTTATCATCCCATCCATGGCACCTGGAATGAGTGAGGGTTCCCCTCCCAGAGGTCTGTCTCTCTCCTCCCTCTCTGTGTCTCCGTGTCTTTTCTGTGCCCATATCCCCTGGTGCAGGTCCCTCCATTTGTCTTCCTCCCTCTTCTCTGTCCCTCTGTCTCCAGTAGCCCCTGACTCCCTTCCCACTGTGAAGAGAGCCTCATCTCTTGGGCTGTTGTATCTCTTTCCCACTAGTCTCTTTCCTGCTGTCTATGTGGGGGTGGAAGAGGACAGGCTGCATGTCCAGGCTCTCAGCAGCCTGAATCAATCTCTTTTGAACAAATTGGAGTCTCTGGCAGAGGTATCAACTCATCAGTAAGGCAGACATCAGTGTCCACACACCCTGTTCCTGATGGGGATTGGGAGCCTCTCCTGCCATGTCTGTGCCTTCTCCATGGCCCCAGCTTCCATAGGGTGGTCCCTGGTGCTGGTTCCAGGAGCATCAACCCCTTCCTATGTGGATGGAGCCTGGTGGTGGCATCAGCATCCCACCCTTGCTGATCCCACGGTAGCCAACCTTCTCCTTGTTTGGTTTCTTTAATTAATTGATTAATTAATTTATTTTTGAGACAGTCACTTTTTCACCCAGGCTGGAGTGCAGTGGTGTTGTCTTGGCTCACTGCAACCTCTGCCTCCCCGGTTCAAGTGATTATCTTGCCTCAGCCTCCCCAGTCGTTGGATTACTCGTGCCCACCACCACACCTGGCTATCCTTGTTTGGTTTCCTAGCTTGTCCTTGACCTGGGTTCCTGTGTCGGTTTCCTGTTGCTGCTGCAGAAAATTATCACAAACATGGCAGCAGGAGAGAACACACTGACCCCTTCCACTTCTGGGGACAGAAATTGGATCCAGTTCTCCCTGTGCTGAAATCAAGGCATCTGCAGGGCTGCGTTCCCTCTGGAGAATCAGCGAATCAGTTCTCTTGACTTCTCCAGCCCTTAGAGGCCACCTGCATTCTGTGACTAGTGGCCTTCCTCCACCTTCAAAGCCCACAGTGGCTGATAGCGTCTCCCTCCCACTACACTGCTCTAATCCCCACTCCCCTCTTCCTCCACCTCTCACGCGGACCCTTGTGATTACACTGAGCCCAGCAGGACAGTCCAGGCTGTCTCCCCATCTCAAGGTCAACTCATCAACAACCTGAGCTCCACCTTCCCCTTCAGTCCCCTGCCCTATAACATAAATAGTCACAGGCTCCAGGGTTTACAATGTAGCCATCATTGGCGACAGTGATTCTTCCCACCACAGCGCCCATTTCCCCTGTATTCAATCCCCCTTGACCCCAAATACAGTTGGGGCCTGGGTGATGGGACCCTGATGGACACCCCCACCAGAAGCTCTGGGATTCAGGAGGTGGGACAGTGAGAAGCCCAGACAGAAAGCCTCTGACCTGTGACCATGATCACCAGGGGGTTGCTGGGTGCCGACCACCCAGTGAGGGAGTGTGGGCGTGAACCCCGACATCTGTAGGTCCCTGCATGTGCTGGGGTCACAGGGCCCATGATGAAGCTCTCCTGGAATATTCTGCCGTGGAAGATGGGAACGTGGCTTCTGTCTTCTTTGTACAGCATGAAATTGTTAAACCCACGACGATAGTGACACTGAAGAGCCACGTGTCCTCCTCGAGGCACCACAGTGCTGGGCCGGGCAGACAGGAAGGGTTTGTCCTGACCACCTGGGGGAGAAGGAGGCACTGCCTTAGAGAGGAGGATGTGGAGCCGCCCCTCCCTCCCTGTGCTCAGAAGATTCTCCCATTTCCACTTTCTAAGGCTCCTACCACACCTGGGTGCCCAGGGCTACAGGAAGGACCCACCCCACATAGACATGGCGTCTCCCTACAACAAGTGTCAGCTGAGAACTTTGAGCAAGTGCTGAATAAGTGACTCTTACTAGATTTTAATACTGCAAAATTACTCACATAAAACAACACAAAGTAGACACGGCATGGAGGGCATGTCCTATGTGAATGGAATATCAGCCAATTCATGAACTGAGCCCCCTCAGAGGATTTGGAATGTCAGGGCCATGGCTGTGGTTTCCCCCCTCTTCTGGTAGAAAGACCGCAGCCACACTGCAGTCCCTACCGTCACGGAAACGCTGGAGGGTGTCAGTTATACCTTTGTCCTCAGAGGACCTGCTGTTCCTAGCACTGCATCCCTCTCTTTCTCTGCTGCTGACACCACTTCCTCCCTGCACACCCCAGCTTGGAGCACCCCAGTCTCACCCCAGTCTTCACAGAGCTTGACTCAGGAAAGGGAAAGAAAGGCCGGGGAGGGCGAGGTCAGAAATGTGGGCCGAGTATCCAAGGGTCCCCTCTTCCTAGTTTATGAGAGACTCCCCGACAGGACTTCCCTCCTGTTTCAGAAAAATCCTCTTATGTGGGGAGATGACACCCTAAGGTTTGGGGAAGGACTCACCCATGAGTGGCCAGGCCCCCTGCAGCAAGAAGAACCCTGGAAAGAAAGATCATGATAGACGATCCAACTGCAGGCAAACCAGGGCACCCTGCTGCCCCCACTGCACTGTGTGTCTTGGCAGCCAGGCCCTTGCTGGGCTGAAGGTAAACTTAGCCTCCCTGCTACCTGCTGCCAAGAACAGGGCTCTCAGCTGTGGAGAGACCCAGGCTCCAGGCCCAGATCAACACTTCCTGGCCCAGATCTCCACTCCAGGCCCATATCTCCACTCCAGGCCCCTATCTCCACTCCAGGCCCATATCTCCACATCAGACCCATATCTCCACTCCAGGCCCATATCTCCACATCAGACCCATATCTCCACTCCAGGCCCAGATCTCCCCTCTAGGCCCATATCTCCACTCCAGGCCCATATCTCCACTCCAGGCCCATATCTCCACATCAGACCCATATCTCCACTCCAGGCCCATATCTCCACTCCAGGCCCAGATCTCCACCTGCAGGCCCATATCTCCACCCCAGGCCCATATCTCCACTCCAGGCCCGTATCTCCACTCCAGGCCCATATCTCCACACCCAGGCCCATATCTCCCCTCCAGGCCCATATCTCCACTCCAGGCCCATATTTACACCTCCAGGCCCATATCTCCACACCCAGGCCCATATCTCCACTCCAGGCCCATATCTCCACTCCAGGCCCATATCTTTACCTCTAGGCCGAGATCTCCATCCCCACTCTCCCTCCCTCTATTCCCTTCCAGGACTCACCAACGCACGCCATGCTGACGACAGTGAGCGACATGGTGCTGCCGGTGCAGACAGGAGGCCGCGCCCCAGCTCAGCTCAGCAGCGCACAGGATGTTATTTGGCGCCCTGCCCATGCAGTTTACATGTTGACCACATCATGGGAGGGTGACGTACGCAGGCTCTTTCTACCTTGCATGAGGCCCAGTGGGTGCTCGCTCAAGAGCGGAACATGGCTTCCTGGAAATTGTTGTGACTACAATTGCCACCTTGCATCCTTCACTATGACCAGACTCAAAAGACGTCTCAGATCCAACCTCTCACACATGAGGTGATTGAATTCTGTGCTTACATTAAAGACTTTTGATGTATTTTTGTTTTTATCTGAGATTCAAACTTTTCTTCATGTGTAATGTGCAAAATATCTAAGAGGTATTATTAACATTATCAGAGTAATTGTGACAAAAAGCCATTCTAATTTTCCTGATGAGTTTCTAGTACTAAACCTGAGGCACGAGAATTGCTTGAACCTGGGAGGCGGAGGCTGCAGTGAGCTGAGCTCAAGCCACTGAACTCCAGCTTGGGTGACCGAGGAAGAGTCTGTCTCAAGAAAGAAAAAAAAAAGCAAACTAAATAACCTATAATAACAAATCAGAGAACTCAGGTTACCAAATTTTAAGGGGTTCTATAAGTTTATATGAAATGCAGCATCCTCATGAGAGGGGATACAGAGAACCACTGGGCAGAAAACTGTGTCTAAAATACATCTGTGGATACACAGTCCCTTTATAGTTGACAAAGGCTGCCATGCAGTTTAAGGTGGAATAGAATATTTTCTCAATAAATAACACAGGACCATAGGGTTACACGTAGGAAAAAATAAATCTAAACTTATCCTCACACTATAAAAACACTTCTTATTTTTTATCTTGTTGTTGTAAACTTTTTATGCTTTATTTTTAAGATTGACAAATAAAAATTATATACTGTGGTCCTTCACTATTCCTGGGTGATTGGTTCCAGGATCCCCATTCAGATACCAAAATCTGCAGATGCTCAAGCCCCTTGCATGAAATGGCATAGCGAAGCTGGGCACCGTGGCTCACGCCTGTAATCCCAGCACTTTGGGAGGCTGAGTTGGGTAGATCACGAGGTCAGGAGTTCAAGACCAGCTGGTCCAACATTCTGAAACCCCATCTCTACTAAAAATACACACACAAAAAAATTTATCTGTGCATGGTGGCACGTGCCTGTAATCCTAGGGGAGGCTACTGGGGAGGCTGAGGGAAGACAATCGCTTGAACCTGGGAGGCGGAGGTTGCAGTGAGCTGAGATCATGCCACTGCACTCCAGCCTGGGTGAGAGAGTGAGACTGTCTCAAAAAAAAAAAATAGCATAGTAATTGCATAGAACCCATGCACATCCTCCTGTATACATGAAATCATCTCTTGATTACTTATAATTCCTGACACAGCCTACACGCCACTCAATTTGTGTCGATTCAACATAGTTTTTTGCTTCTTGAAACTTCGGGGATTTTTTTCTGAAAATATTTTTGATTTATTGTTGGTTCAATAAACACCTGTAAACCCCACAGATATGGAGGACCGACTGTATATTTATATTATGAAAGATGATATGTTGATATGTGTCCCCGTGGAGATGAGGCTAACAAGGCCTATGACTCTACAAATGTTTCATCGTGGAATGACTCTGCCAGCTTTCCAGGTCTGCAGAGAGTAAGAATATCACTTGTTCATGTGATTCACGATCCTTGGAGCCTCCTATGTGCTGTATCTTTGGATGGAAATTGGAGTCTCAGAGACAAATCAGGCTCCATTCTGCTTCCAGAAGCTCAGAGTCCAGGGCTGAGAACCCAATGGAGAACAGATGGGGTTATGTGGACACGGTAATGATAACACCGGAAGCCTTAGGCAAGAAAAGAGTCTCGTTACCGAAACCATGAGGGCAGACATGTTTATTTGAAGGCGGGAAAACTACATTGAAATTATTTAAAAAATTTATAAGTTTTACTGCTGGCAGAAGGCTGAAAGATAGTCTGAAGGGAGGTGGAACAGCACGTGTCTAAGTGCTGTGTTAAGAGGCAGCCTCTTGTATGTTTGGAATTGTGAGTTCCTCAGTGTGATTGCAGCCTCAGGTAGACTAGGAAGTAAGCCAGTTAGGTTGGAGAGGTGGGCAGGGGTCAAGTGAAATGGAGAATTGTGGGCTAAGCAAAGGAGTGTGTTTTCTCTCCAGCAGGCAGTGGGGACCTTAGACATTTGTAAGCAAGAGAGAGGCATGTTCAGATTCGTGGTGTGAGGAAGAGCGATGCCCTAAGATGAAGACTGATGCCTTCAGATTCCAGCTGCTGGTACATGGGAGCTGGCAACCCGGTTTTGAGACAGGGCTGTTGTCTCCCTAGAAGATCCCCTCAAGGCCTGACTGTGGTGCTCGTGGACAGAAGACAACTTTGGATCTGGGCTCAGCATTTGGAAGTTCTATGTACATGCTGGTATCTGTTGGGGGTGTCTTGGGCCTCTCAGAAGGGCGAGTGATTTTTCTCTGTGTGAAAACACAGTGATCCAATTATGCGTATGACACCTCCTGATGGTCTTGTTCATCAGAATCCTGGAGAGAGGGAAATGCTGAGTGAGGGAGGGTGCTCACATTTTTCAGGACTCTTTGGGAATAAGACTAGCCACGAGGCTGGGCCGAGGAGCACCTACCTCGCTGTTCACTGTTCTGTTCCCTGCAGGCTCTTGGTCCATTACAGCAGCATCTGTAGAAGACGGAAGTCAACAAAAGAGCTCGGAGGGCACTTCTGGGTCCTCATTTCATAAGCAGATACCAACAAACAGGGGGAGGCCATAGGTGCCTGAGGTCCCTCAGTTGCCAACAGCAGACTCAGACATTCTATCTCTCTGAGTTCAAGGACCCATCCCATGAATAGCTCTGAGGTCCCATCCCATTGATTCTATCTCCCACTTTCTGCCTGTCATGGAACCTTCTCCTGGATGTGAGTGGCTGCAGGGGACGTGAGGATACAGTTCAGAATCAGGCAATGGTCTGTGAGCTGAAGGCAGGGGAAGGGAATCTGGTGCTCTCTCTAGAAAGTCCTGCCTCTGTGGCTCCTGTCTTGGGCCAGGGACCATCCTGCTGGTGAGGAACACACATCCGCGTGCTCCCATCCTGCTTCCCCACATGGCCCTGAGCTCTCTGGCCTCTGCTTCGTGAGACTTACTTTTTTTGTCGGAGCACCAGCGATGAAGGAGAAAGAAGAGGAGGATGGTGAAAGGGATTTTGACCACTGAGGTCCCAATCAGAACATGTAGGTGTCTGGGGTTACCTGGAAGAAGAGGAGACACCAATAAGAAGCTAATCATAGCAGTTCCTCTTTATGAATTGTCTCGCATTTCTTGATTGGCAGGTAACCACATACAACGTCTCTTTAGGACAAGCACCCAAATGGCGGGAGACCTAGCTTTCCCCTGCTTTCTCAATTATAGCTCTCATAGTAACCATAGAACGTGCTGAGGATACAACTACTTTAGTTGAGATGTTTGACCCTTTCAAACCTCACATTGAAATTTCACCCCCATTGTGGGAGGTTGGGCCTCTTCAGAGGTGTTTGGGTCATGGAGGTGGATCCATCATGAACAGACCAATGCTGTCCCAAGGAGACGGGGTTAGCAAGTTCCCCCTCTGTTAGTTCCTGGAGAGCTGGTTGTTAAAAAGAGCTTGGAAGCTCCATCGCTCCCTCTCCCCCTTACTCTCTCTCTTGCCGTGTGATCTCTGCGGTCTCTGCACAGACAGACCCTCCTTCCCTTCTGCCAGAGTGGGAGCAGCCTGAGGCCATCACGAGAAATAGATTCTGGTGCCATGCTTCCAGTACAGCCTGCAGAACTGTGAGGCAAACCAATCTCTTTTCTTTAGAAGTTACCCAGGCTCAAGTGTTCCTTTAGAGCAACAAAAATGGACTAAGATAGCAACATCCTGAGATCAGGAGGAATGTCTCAGAACAGCCTGGGCTGTCTTCCTGTTCTTCCTGGAGGAGGACGTCATGCAGTGCTTTAGCTGAGTGCTTCCTGTGGCTCCAGGGTACAAAACCCAGGCTGGGCTGCTTTCTGGCTTCCCCCAGTTACACTGCAAATGGGGTGACTCCATATGTCCCGAGCAGCTTTTCTGAGCCTTGAGGGACTGGCTCACATTGAAATGCAGGCTTCTGTTGTCACTCACTGCTTATCTGTTAGTAATGAACCTGCCTATGTAACGTATTCTCTGTGTGTTCTGTCTCCCTGGAGTGACGGTGAGTGATAGGAATTGGCATAGGCCCAGGTGCAGTCCAGGATTTGTTTAGAGTCTTCTCTGGGAAGACTGCACTGGGATTGATACACAGCGAATGTGCTTTAGGATTTCTACATCCACAGCATTCTTGAGTCAAACAAATTGCATTCACCAAGGAAAGGAAACAAAGGTGAAATCACGATTAAAAATAGCGAAGCAAGATTCTCTTATGTCAAACAGCCAGAAAATAGTGTTGAAGCCCGTGTGAAATGTGCTGCTCTTTGTGATCTCGGGAGACACATGTTAGGCTGCTGTTCTACCCGAGAGGCTGGGGGAAGGACCACCCCCTCCACCATCTATTGCTTCAATACCACCTGTCCTCCTGTGAATTAGTAGGAAAGGGGAACAGGAGCTAGTGCTGTCGCTGATCTCTGATTCCAAGATCTGGACTCACTCCAAGGAGTATTAATGTTTCCTCCCCATGGTCTATCTGAATCTCCACAGGTGATTGGAAGTAGGGGTGAGGTGGGGGATTTGGGTGAGTGGGCAAGTTTTTTTTTGCGATGACCAGAGCACTTTCTCTATTCCAGGATCCGTGCTGGAGGATTCAGCGGGCTTTCACATTTTCTATGTGATCTCATGCTCACAGAAAGCCAAATAGGGAAGAGGTTTTAGGCTCATTGCCTAATGGATAAGATAAAGGATCAAAGAAGTAATTATAGAGAAATAGAAAAATGATGATTGGAATTCAGGTGCCTTTGTCATTCGTGTGTGTTTTATTATATTTATGCATTTCTTATTTTTATTTTTTGAGACGGAGTCTCCTTGTGTCACCCAGGCTGGAGTGCAGTGATGCAATCTCCACTCACTGCAACCTCCACCTCCTGGGTTGAAGTCATTCTCCTGCTTCATCCTCCAGAGTAGGAGCTGGGATTACAGGGATGCACCACCATGCTCGGCTAATTTTTGTATTTTTAGTAGAGACAGGGTTTCACCATGTTGGCCAGGCTGGTCTGGAACTCCTGACTTCATGGAATCCACCCGCCTTGGCCTCCTGCAGTGCTGGGTTACAGGCGTGAGCCACCGTTCACAGACTTGTATATTATGCTATAATAGGTCCCTTCATTTCCACCACCCCTCATATATCTGTCACTCCTTTGCCAGGTATTGATTTATGTGTAGGATGAATAAATCTCAGAAAGAAATTAATTAAGCGAGGATTAAACAAGTAGGAAAATCAAACCCAGCAAGCCTTTCCAGCCAATGATTCTACCTCACAAACATAGCTTATATCCATCTGCTTCATCCACTTAGTGTCAAAATCAGCACCACATTTCACCAGTGGGGTGGCAATTGCCTTTTCCACAGTCTCCTAGATTCCAGTTACGCACCTGGGCCTCCCTTATTTTCATGTCAGTCACTATTAATCATGTAGGGATTCCTGGTTACCTCGAGGTGAATCCAACGGCTGTGAGTGTCAAACACACACTCCTTGTTGCTCCTTAGTTTCCTGTGTACCCAGTGTGCTCTCCGTCTCTCTACAGTTGTCTTGTCATTCTCCCCATCTCATTCCCAGCATTTCAGGCAGAGCCTCTTCCTTCCACATCAGATTGTTTTCAGCTTTCTGCCTTCACGGCTGACAGCTGTGTGTGGAAAATCCTTCCGCCAATCTTTCAGGGGTTCAATCCGTGTTTTTCATTAATGTCACAAATATCTGATTAGTGAGACCTTCTCTGTCACCCAAAATTATACACTCAGCATTATCTATTATTGATTTTGAATTCTGGCTGGGCACAGTGGCTCACGTCTTTTATCCCAGTACTTTGGGATGCTGAGATGGTTGGATCACTTGAGGTTGGGAGTTTCAGACAAGCTTGGCCAACATGGTGAAACATCCTCTCTACAAAAAATATACAAAAAGAATTAGCCGGGCATGGTGGCAGTTGCCTGTAATCCCAGCTACTCGAGAGGGTGAGGCAGGAGAATCACTTGGATCCAGGAGACGCAGGTTGCAGTGAGCCAAGATCGTGACACTGCACTGTAGCCTGGAAGACAGAGGGAGACTCTGTCTCAATAAACAAACGAACAAACAAACAAATAGATTTCATGCACAGATGCTTCCCAATGGATCATTCATTTATTGGTCCACTTGTGCATTCATTTTCTGTCCTCCCATTTAACCATCTGCAATATCAGTGTCCCAAGAGCAGAGGCCAAATGCATCTTGTTCACCATTTGTGGAAGGCAGGAGAATGCTGTCCCACCCCAAAATGTCCCTGTCCTAGCCTCCATAGCTTGTGAATATGTTATTTTACATGGAAAGGAGGAATGAAGATTGCAGATGGAATTATGGTTGCTAATCAGCTGAACTTAAAACAAGGGTATCCTGAATGATTTCCGGGAGATTATGACGGATTTTCATCTTGGTGAACCCAATAGAATCCCCAAGTTTTCAAAAGATGAGGAAGAAGGGAGAGCAGCATTCAGAGAAAGAGGTGTGGTAAGGAAGAAGGGTCTGAGTGATGCCATGTGAGATGTGACCAGTCTTTGTGGGTTTTGAGGAAGGAGGAAGGGGACCAGCAGCCAAGGAACTGGGAGCCTTTATAAGATGGGACAAGTGAGAAGCAGATTCTTGCCTGGAATCCTCAGAGGGAAGGCAGGCTTGCTGTCATCTTGATTTTAGCCCAGTGAGATGCACTTCATGCTTTGAGCTAGAGCACTGTAAGATAATTAAATAACCGTTTTGTTTTCACCCACGAATCTTGTGGAAATTTGTTATGGCAACAATAGGAAAAGCTTCCACACTGCACAACCTGAGCATGGGGCCGTGGCTGAATAAGTCAGTGAGTCAAAGTGTGCGTGCATGAGCTCTGTTCTCTGTTACGGCAAGGCTCTTGCTCTGCTGAGTCAGCCAGGGTTGTTTCATGACCAACAGGAGCTCATTCCTTGGCAAGTGGAACTTCTCTAAAACACCTCGCCCTCATCAGATGTTCGCTTCCCTTCCCTCTCTCAAGCCCCCAGGAATTTATCCTCCAGTTAGGAATGCAAGCAGAACAAACATTGCATTTTTCCTGAGAAGGATGTCAGATTGGCAATCATTCTTCTAGCTTGTAGGAGGTCTCAGCTCCATAAAATGAGAGATGAAGAGATTTCACTGAGCCCTGTGTTGGGCCCAGATCCCTTTCGCTGTTGGAGTATCTGGAGTTCGGAGATGGTAGAAGACAGGCGTACAATGTCAGAGCTGTGAGATGCTGAGTCAACGCCTGAATCCAAGGTTTCCACCTCCCCAGGGTTCCAAAAGCGGATATAAGAGGGTCCTGTACTCACCGGTTTTGGAGCTTGGTTCAGTGGGTGAAGGCCAACTATTTGAAGGGTTTCCTAGAACATGAGACAGGAGAGAGGTGAGGAAATGAGGGTGTCTGTCCTCTACTCAGTGGAAATCTTTGAGTTTGGTTCATGGCCAACACTCTGTTATCTAACATTGGGCCCTGGGAGTCCAGGGATCCTTTCTTCCATAATTTTTGTATGTGACGCCCACTGTCTTGAGACTTCAAGGTATAAAGAGAAAACAGGAGCATCACACTACCTGATCTCAAAATATGTTACAGAGCTGTAGTAAGCAAAACAGCATGATGTTGGCATGAAGAAAGGCACATAGAACAACGGAGCAGAATGAAGAACACAGATATAATCCATGCATTTACATCCAATTTTTTTTATTTTTTCTTTTGAGATGGAGTCTCGCTCTGTCACCCAGGCTGGAGTGCAGAGGTGCAATCTCGGTTCACTGCAACCTCAGCCTCCTGGGTTCAATCAATTCTCTTGCCTCAAACTCCTGAGTAGTAGTATTACAGGTGCTGACCACCATGCTCAGCTAATTTTTATATTTTTAGTGGAGACGATGTTTCATCACGTCGGCCAGAGTAATCTTGTACTCCTGTCCTCAGGTGATCCACCAGCCTTGGCCTCCCAAAGTGCTGAAGTTGCTGGTGTTAGCCACCATGCCCAGCCCATCCAATGGACTTTGACAAAGGTGCCAAGAACTCACAATCAGGAAAGGACAGTTTTTTCAATAAACAGTGCAGGGAAACCTGGACATCTACATGCAGAGGAATGAAACTGCACCTCTACCTGTCACCATACACAAAAATCAAATGAAAGTGGATTAAAGATGTGAGTCTAAGGCCTGAACCTGTGAAACACGTAGAAGAAAATATTGGGGAAATGCTCCAGGACATTTGTCTGAAGGAAGACATTTTGTTTTAAACCTTCAAAACACAAGTAATCGAAGCAAAAATAGACCATTGGGATTACCTCAAACTAAGCAACTTCTGCACCGCTAAAAATAAACCAACAAAGTGAAGAGACAACCCACAGATTGGGAGCAAATATGTGCAAACTATGCATCTGAGACGGGATTAATAACTAGAAGTATAAGAAGCTCAAACAACTCAATAAAACAAATGATTTAATTGAAAAAGGAGCAAAAGACATGAAATTTCCCCACATACGAAAAAGTGCTCAGTATCACTCATCATCAGAGAAACGCGAATTAAAATCAAAGTGAGTTTTCATCTCACCCCATTAAAATGGCTTTTAGGCCGGGCGAGGTGGCTCACGTCTGTCATCCTAGAACTCTGAGAGCCCGAGGTGGGCGAATCTCATAAGGTCGGGAGTTTGAGACCAGTCTGACCCACATGGAGAAACGCTGTCTCTACTAAAAATACAAAAATTAGTCGGGCGTGGTGGCGTGTGCCTGTAATTCCAGCTACTCGGGAGGCTGAGGCAGGAGAATCGCTTGAACCTGGGAGGTGGAGGTTGCGGTGAGCCGAGATCGCACCACTGCACTCCAGCCTGGGTGAGAAGAGCGAAACTCCATCTCAAAATAAAATGAAATAAAATAAAATGGCTTTTAGCTGCAAGACAGGCAAAAGAAATGCTGGCAAGGTGGTAGAGAAAGGAGAACCCTGGTACCCTGTTGGTAGGAGTGTAAATTAGTACAGCCATTACGGAGAAAAGTATGGAAGTCCTTTAAAGAACTAAAAAGAGGTTGGATGAAGTGGATCATGCCTGTAATCCCGGCACTTTGGGAGACCGAGGCGGGCACCTCAGTTGAGGTCATGAGTTTGAGAGCAGCCTAGCCAACCTGGGGAAACCCCATGTACACTAAAAAAAACCAAAAAGTATCCCGGCATGGTGGCGTGCACCTGTAATCCCAGCTACTAGGGAGGCTGAGGCAGGAAAATCATTTGAACCCAGGAAGCGGAGGTTGCAATGAGCCAAGATCACATCACTTGTACTCCAGCCTGGGCACAGAGGGAAACTGTCTCAAAAACAAAAACAAAACAACAAACGAAAAACTAAAAAGAGAACTTTCATAGTATCCAGCAATTTCACTACTGGGTTTATATCCAAAGGAAAGTAAATCAATGTATCGAAGTGATATCTGCACTCGTATGATTGGTGCAGCACTCTTCACAGTAGCCAAGATGTGGAGTCAACCTACCTGCCCATCAGTGGATGAATGGATAGAGAGAATGTAGTACATACGCACAGCGGAGACTACTCATCCATAGAAAGAATAACATCCTGATATTTGCAGCCACATGGATGGAACTGGAAGTCATTACAAAGATTCCCATTTCTCACCCATATACAGGAGCTAAAAGGTGGATCTCATGAAGATAGAGAGTAGAATGGTGGCTACCAGAGGCCAGGAAGAAAAGGGTGGAGGATAAAACAAACAAACAAAAAATTTATATGTATGTATTTATGACCACTAGACCTTACACTTAAAATTGGTAAACGTGGCCGGGCGCGGTGGCTCATGCCTGTAATCCCAGCACTTTGGGAGCCTGAGGCGGGTGGATCACGTGGTCAGGAGTTCCAGAGCAGCTCGACCAACATGGTGAAACCCCCTCTCTACTAAAAATACAAAAAGTAGCCTGGCGTGGTGATGGGCGCCTGTAGTACCAGCTACTCAGGTGGCTGAGGCAGGAGAATCGCTTGAACCCAGGAGGCGGAGGTTACAGTGAGCTGAGATTGTGCCACTGCATTCCAGCATAGGAGACAGAGCTAGACTCCACCTCAAAAAAAAAAAATGTTAAAAGTGGTAAGCTATATAGGTATATTTAACCTCAATGAATATTTTTTCAAACAAAAAGAAAAGGATGTAGGGGTTGCTGGTGATGACATCTCTGTGTGGGTGAGAGGCCAGGAAGGGCTTCTGGGAAATGGGTAAGGTTGAGGGGCTGAGGGAACCTCTGATCTCCCCAAACTGAGCCCAGTCTCCCCTGCTCTGGGTCTCTCCTGACCGCTTTCTACATCTGCCTGGGTGCCTGGAGCCCTAATCGGAGGCCTCCATGCAGGCCATGCAGGAGGGTTTGGAGGTGCTGTGTGTGCCATCCTGCGCCCTGATCCCTCCCTCACAGGCATGCTGCGTCTTCTCTCTGCATCTGTCCATGCTTCTCTCCATCATCAGCAGGAAGCTCCTCAGCTAAGGCTCTAGGATCATAGGACATGGGACAGATATGGGGTTTCCTCACCTGTGACGGAAACAAGCAGTGGATCACTCGAGTTTGACCACTCGTAGGGAGCGTCACGGAAAGAGCCGAAGCATCTGTAGGTCCCTCCGTGGGTGGCAGGGCCCAGAGGAAAGTCGGCCTGGAATGTTCCGTTGATGCTGCGCACTGCAGGGAGCCTACGTTCATGGGCCTCCCCTTCCCTGGATAGATGGAGCTGCAGGACAAGGTCACATTCTCTCCTGCCTGAACCGTGGGGCCCGGCTGGGCTGAGAGAGAAGGTTTCTCATATAGACCTGGAAGGAGAAGGGGCAGTTTCCTCAGGGGGGATCTTCCTTGTCACAGCTCCCCTCACACCTGACCTGAGAACTCACTCCCCTGCTCTATGGCCTAATGCTCTCTTTCTCTGTCTCACCCTCCACCCCATCTCTCTTCATGTCTATTTCCTCCTTCCACCTTCTCTGTCTCTGTAGGTCTCTGACCTCACTTCCCTACCTCTAGTTATGTTTTCCGTTTTTGGATTGTTTTATTCTCTCTGGCTCTCCTTGGATTGGTTGACTTGATGTTACTTTTTTTAACTCTGAGTTTCTCAGTTTGTGTCCCGTTCATAACTTTCTGCATATTTCTATCTATTATCTATCAATCCATCTATTTATCTATTCGGTGCCTATCTACAAATTCTCTACCTGTCATCTATATCTATATATCATCTATTTATCTATCAATTGTCTATCCGTCAATCATCTATTATCTATATATATGTATCATCTCTCTCTCTCTATTATTTCTCTCTTTGTCTTCCTCTCTATCTCTATGTATTATCTATCCATCTACCTTCATCATCATCATCTCTATGTATCATCTATTAATGAATCAATCAATCATCATCTATGTATCTATAACCTATTATCTATCATCTACCTATATATCATCTATCTATATCTATCCATCATCTATCTGTATCTATCCATCTATCATCTGTCTTGCTCTGCCTCTCGGTCTCTCTAGTTCTCTTTGGAATCTCTGCAATTCATCCCCACATCTCCATCTTTCTATGCCCTTGTGCCTCGCCCTCAGGACTCTAATTTTAGTGGTTTTCTCTGCTCTCTTCCATCATTCTCTCCACTTCTCTGCCCTCTTCTCTCTCTTTATGTGTCTGTGAGTCTCTCAATCTCCTTCCTCTGGCTCTTTCTCTGTGTGTTTATGTCTTTGCTTTTTGGTGTCCCTGATTTCTCTCTGTGCTTCTCAGTGATCCTCTCATATGTGATATGTGGGGTTATTTGGAATGTGAGCCTCAGAATCCAGTCTGGAGACCACAAGTTCACACAGCATACAGGGGTTGGTGTTCTGGGGCCATGATATTTTGGGACGATTATTCTCCATTGCATGGAAGTCAGAGGTGTCAGAATAAGCATGGCATCTGTAGGTGCCACAAGGCCTGAGGCCACAGGGCCCAACTCAGGTCAGAAATATGGGTGTCCTTGGGTTCTCCTGGTAGAGAACACTTTGTGGAGGTAAAACAGAAATGAAACTTCTAACCTGTGCCAGGTCTCTGAGCAAAGTCAGCATGGAAGGACACCTCTGTCTGGGACATGTCTGTCTGTCTCCTTTAACTCTTTCTGTCTTTTCTAACTCCCTGTATGGCCCCTGTGTTTGTCCTCTGTTATGACACCTGGTCTGTACTTGTGTCTCTTGTTTCTCTGTCTCTGTTGGCACAGACCTCACCAAGTCAGTCTCTCTCCATAAGAATACCAAGCTCATCTTCCTTACAACCACCTGGGTCTCCAAGTCCTGGATCATTCACTCTGCATCCCAATGACAATGAGAAGAATGTCTGGACACTCTCACCTATGATCACCATGTCCAGAGGGTCACTGGGAGCTGACAACTGATAGGGGGAGTGAGTAACAGAACCGTAGCATCTGTAGGTTCCTGCAAGGACAGGCATCATGGGACCAATGGAGAAGTTGGCCTTGGAAACCCCATCATGGTGCTCTCCAATGAGGTGCAAAGTGTTGTTAAACTTCCCCTCTCTGTGCAGAAGGAAGTGCTCAAACATGACATCCGACCAACATTGCAGGATGACTGTCTCTTCTGATTTCACCAGGTGACCTGGGAGGGCCAGGAAGGAAGGTTTTCTGTGGACTTCTAGGAAGAGAGGTTGTGAGTTTAGAAGGTGTCTCTCTTTATCATCCCATCCATGGCACCTGGAATGAGTGAGCCTTCCCTTCGCTGGTGTCTGTCTCTCTGCTTCCTCTCTGTGTCTTCATGTTCTTTTCTGTGCCCATAACTCCTGGTGCAGGTCCTTCCATCTGTCTCCCTCCCTCTTCTCTGTCCCTCTGTCTCTAGTAGCTGTGATTCCCTTCCCACTGGGCTCAGCCTCATCTCTTGGGCTGTTGTATCTATTTCACACTAATGTCTTTCTTACTGTCTATGTGGGAGTGGAAGAGGAAGCAGGATAGGCTGCACGTCCCGGCTCTTAGCAGCCTGGTTCAATCTCTTTTGGACGAATTGGAATCCTTGGCAGGAGGTATGAACTGATCAGTAAGGCAGGCACCAGTGTCCACACACCCTGTTCCTGGTGGGGACTGGGAGCCACTCTTGCCATGTCTGTGCCTTCTCCATGGTGCCAGTTTCCATAGGCTGGCTCCTCGTGCTGATTTGAGGAGTATCAACCCCTCCCTATGTGGATGGAGCCTGGTGGTAGCATCATCATCCCACCCTTGCTGATCTCGGTGTAGCCAACCTTCTCTTTGTTTGGTTTCTTTAATTAATTAATTAATTTTGGAGACAGAGTCTCACTCCTTCGCCCAGGCTGGAGTGAAGTGGTGTGGTCTACGCTCACTGCAACCTCTGTCTCCTGGGTTCAAGCGATTCTCCTGCTCTCAGCCTCCCGAGTCGCTAGGATTACATGCACCTGCCACCATGCCTGGCTATCCTTGTGTCTTTTCTTAACTTGTCCTTGACCTGGGTTCCAGTGTTGGTTTCCTGTTGCTGCTGTAGAAAATTATCAGAAGCATGGCAGCAGGAGAGAGCACACTGACCCCCTCCGATTCTGGAGACAGAAAGCGGACGCTGTTTTTCGAGGGCTAAAATCAAGGCATCTGCAGGGCTGTGTTCCCTCTGGAGACTCAGGAGAATCAGTTACTTGACTTTCCCAGCCTCTATAGGCCACCTGCATTCATGGCTTATGGCCTTCATCCACCTTCAAAGCTGATGGAGTCTCCCACTACGCTGCTCTAATCCCCACTCTCCTCTTCCTCCTCCTTTCATGTGGACCCTTGTGATTATACTGAGCCCACCGGGACAGTCCAGGCTGTCTCCCCATCTCAAGGTCAACTCATCAACAACCTGAGCTCCATCTTCCCCTTCAGTCCCTTCCCCTATAACATAAATAGTCACAGACTCCAGGGATTAGAATGCAGTCATCATTGGGGACACTTATTCTTCCCACCACAGCACCCATTTCCCTGTATTCAATCCCCCTTTACCCCAAATACAGTTAGGGCCTGCGTGATGGGACCCTCAAGGACATGCCTACCAGAAGCTCTGGGATTCAGGAGGTGGGACAAGGAGAATCCCAGACAGGAGCCCTCTGACCTGTGACCATAATCACCAGGGGGTTGCTGGGTGCCGACCACCCACTGGGGGAGTGTGTGTGTGAACCCCGGCATCTATAGGTCCCTGCATGTGACGGGGTCACAGGGCCCATGAAAAGGCTTTTCCAGAATATTCTGTTGTACAGCTCAGGGACAGGCACCCCATCATCCTTGTACAGACTGAAGTTGTTAAACCCAAGATTAGAGTGACACTGAAGAGTCACATGTTCTGGAGGCACCACAAGGCTGGGCCAGGTAGAAAGCAAGGGCTTGTCCTGACCACCTTGGGGTGAAGGAGGCGCCGCCTTAGAGAGGAGGATGTGGAGCTGTGCCTCCCTCCCTGTGCTCAGAAGATTCTCCCCACTTTCCACATTTCTATGGCTGCTATCACACCTTGGTGCCTAGGGCTAAAGGAAGGACCCATCCCACAAAGACAAGGTGTCTCCGTACAACAAAAGTGTCAGCTGAGAACTTTGAGCAAGTGCTGAGTAAGAGACTCCTACTAGATTTTAATACTGTAAGATTACTCACATAAAACAACACAGGGTAGACATGAAGTGGAGGGCATGTCCTTTGAGAATGGAATATCAGCAGTTGCCTGAATGAAAATAAAAAACTTAGCCCCCATCAGAGGATTTGGAATGTCAGGGCCATGGCTGTGGTTTCCCACCTCTTCTGGTAGAATGACAGCAGCCACACTGCAGCCCCTACCATCATGGAAACGCTGAAGTGTGTGAGTAACACCTTTGTCCTCAGAGGATCTGCTGTTCCTACCACTTCCCCACCACACAACCCAGCTTTGAACACCCTAGTCCAACCCTGGTCCCCACACAACTTGACTCTGCCAAGGGGTTGAGAGGCCAGGGAGGCAAGGTCGGAACTGTGGGCCGAGCACCCCAGGGTCCCCTCTTCCTAGTTTATAAGAGACTCCCTGACAGGACTTCCCTCCCGTTTCAGGAAAATCCTCTTATGTGGGGAGATGACACCCTAAGGTTTGGAGAAGGACTTACCCTCCTGTGGCCAGGCCCCCTGCAGCAAGAAGAACCCTGGAAAGAAAGATCATGATGGAAGATCCATTTGCAGGCAAACAAGGCCTTCCTTGCTGCCCCCACTGGGCTGTGAGTCTTGATAGCCAGCCCCTTCCTGGGCCGAAGGGAAACTCACCATCAGTGCCTACCTGCACCCAAGAACAGTGCTCTCGGCTGTGCAGAGACCCAGCCTCCAGGCCCATATCCCCACCCCAAGCCCATATCTCCACTCCAGGCCCATATCTCCACTCCAGGCCGATATTTCCACCCTAGACCCATATAGCCAATCCGGGCCCACATCTCCAATCCAGGCTCAGATCTCCACCCTAGGCCCATATCTCCAATCCAGGCCCATATCTCCACTCCAGGCCCATATCTCCTCTCCAGTCCCATATCTCCACTCCAGGCCCATATCTCCACCCCAGGCCCAGATCTCCACCTCCAGGCCCATAACTACACTCCAGGATCATATCTCCACTCCAAGCCCATATCTCCACATCAGGCCCATATCTCCACTCCAGTCCCATATCTCCACACCCAGGCCCATATCTCCATTCCAGGCCCATATCCCCATCCTAGGCCCATATCTTCACCGTAGGCCCAGATCTCCACTCCAGGCCCATATCTCCACTCCAGGGCCATATCTCCACTCCAGGCCCATATCTACACACCAGGCCCATATCTCCACCCCATGCCCATGTCTCCACTCCAGACCCATATCTCCACCCCATGCCCATATCTCCACTCCAGGCCCATATCTCCAACCCACGCCCATATCTCCACCTCCAGGCACATATCTCCACCCCATGCCCGTATCTCCACTCCAGTCCCATATCTCCACTCCCGGCCCATGTCTCCACCCCATGCCTATATCTCCACTCCAGTCCCATATCTCCACTCCAGGCCCATATCTCCACTCCAGAACCATATCTCCACTCGGCCCATATCTACACTCCAGGCCCATATCACCACCTCCAGGCCCATATCTCCACTCCAGGCCCATATCTCCACCTCCAGGCCCATATCTCCACTCCAGACCCATATCTCCACTCCAGGCCCATATCTCCACTCCAGGCCCATATCTCCACTCCAGGGCCATATCTCCACTCCAGGCTCATATCTCCACTCCAGGCCCATATCTCCACTCCAGGGCCATATCTCCACTCCAGGCTCATATCTCCACTCCAGGCCCATATCTCCACTCCAGGGCCATATCTCCACTCCAGGCCCAGATCTCCACCTCCAGGCCCGTATCTCCACTCTAGTCCCATATCTCCACTCCAGGCCCATATCTCCACCTCCAGGCCCATAACTTCACTCCAGGCCCATAACTCCACTCCAGGCCCATATCTCCACCTCCAGGCCCATATCTCCACTCCAGGGCCATATCTCCACTCCAGGCTCATATCTCCACTCCAGGCCCATATCTCCACTCCAGGGCCATATCTCCACTCCAGGCCCAGATCTCCACCTCCAGGCCCCTATCTCCACTCTAGTCCCATATCTCCACTCCAGGCCCATATCTCCACCTCCAGGCCCATAACTTCACTCCAGGCCCATAACTCCACTCCAGGCCCATATCTCCACCTCCAGGCCCATATCTCCACTGCAGACCCATATCTCCACTCCAGGCCCATATCTCCACTCCAGGCCCAGATCTCCACTCCAGGCCCAGATCTCCACTCCAGGCCCAGATCTCCACCTCCAGGCCCCTATCTCCACTCTAGTCCCATATCTCCACTCCAGGCCCATATCTCCACCTCCAGGCCCATAACTTCACTCCAGGCCCATAACTCCACTGCAGACCCATATCTCCACTCCAGGCCCATATCTCCACTCCAGGACCATATCTCCACTCCAGGCTCATATCTCCACTCCAGGCCCATATCTCCACCTCCAGGCCCATAACTTCACTCCAGGCCCATAACTCCACTCCAGGCCCATATCTCCACTCCAGTCCCATATCTCCACTCCAGTCCCATATCTCCACCCTAGGCTCCTACCTCCCCTCCAGGTTCCTATCTCTCCTCCAGGTTCCTCTCTCCACTCCAGGTTCCTATCCCCACTCCAGGCCCATATCTCCACTCCAGGCCCAGATCTTCACTCCAGGCCCAGATCTCCACTCCAGGCGCAGATCTCCACTTCTAGGCCCATCACTCCATCTCTAGGCCCAGATCTCCACTCCAGGCCCAGATCTCCACTCCAGGCCCATAACTCCACCTCCAGGCCCATATCTCCACCTCTGGGCCCAGATCTCCATCCCCACGCTCCCTCCCTCTATTCCCTTCCAGGACTCACCAACACACGCCATGATGATGACCATGAGCGACATGGTGCTGCCGGTGCAGACAGGCGGCCGCGCCCCAGCTCAGCTCAGCAGCGCACAGGATGTTATTTGGCGCCCTGCCCATGCAGTTTACATGTTGACCACATCATGGGAGGGTGACGTACGCAGGCTTTTTCTACCTTGCATGAGGCCCAGTGGGTGCTCGCTCAAGAGCGGAACATGGCTTCCTGGAAATTGCTCTCACTAGAATTGACACCTCGCGTCCTTCACTATGACCAACTCAAAACACGTCTTAGATCCAACCTCCCAAACATGAGATGCCTAAAATCTGTGCTAACATGAAAGACTTTTCATGAATTTTTATTGTTTTTATCTGAGATTCGAACTCTTCTTCCTGTGTAATATGCAAAATATCTAATAGGTATTATTAGTGTTTTCAGAGTCATTGTGACTAATAAACCATTAGAATTGTTCATGCTTGTATTTCTAGTATTACAGCAGAACCAGTTCAAATGATTTAAATTCCCAGGGAAGGATTATGCAATTATTTACAATCTTAGAATTGTACTTTATCAGCAAAAACCACACATGTAAATTCTGGATTTTTGTAGTTTTATCTATAATTTGTCTCATGACTCAAGATTCCAGAGTCCCAACTTTGGAGTTTGCTCTCTCTCTGTCTCTCTGCCTCCCTCATTTTAAATTTTACAGAAATATCCAGTAACATAATGCTATAGAAAATCAAGTTTCCCCCAGCAGGTCGGGAAGCCGAGGTGGGCGGATCAACTGAGATGAGGAGATTGAGAGCAGCCTGGCCAACACAGTGAAACCGCGTCTCTGCTAAAAATTCAAAAATTAGCCATGCCTGGTGGCAGGCACCTGAAACGCCAGCTACTCAAGAGACTGAGGCACGAGAATCGCCTGAACCTGGGAGGCGGAAGTTGCAGTGAGCTGAGATTGTGTCACTGCAGTCCAGCCTGGGCGACAGAGCAAGACTCCGCCTCAAGAAAAAAAAATAGCAAGTAGCCTATAATAACAAATTAGAGGGCTCTGGCTACTAAATTTAAAGGGTTTTATAAGGCTACATGAAGTGCAGCATCCTCAAGAGTGTGGACACAGAGAGCCCCTTAGCAGAAACAGTGTCTAAAATACATCCGTGTACACACAGTCCCTTTAGAGTTGACAAAGGCTGCCGTGTGGTTTAAGGTGGCATAGAATGTCTTCTCAATAAATAATATTAAACCAAAGGGTTACACGTAGGAAAAAATAAATCTAAACTTATTCTCACACTATAAAAACACTTCTTACTTTTTATCTAGTTATTGTACATTTTTTATGATTTATATTTAAAATTGAGAAATAAAAGTCATATACGGTCATCCTTTACTATTCGTGGGTGATTGGTTTCAGGATCTCCACTCAGGTACCAAAATCTGCAGATGCTCAAGCCTCTTACATAAAATGACACAGCATTTGGATATAACCCATGCACATCCTCCTGTATACATGAAATCATCTCTTGATTACTTATAATTCCTGATACAGCCTACACACTGCCTCATTTGTGTCCATTCAACATAGTTTTGCATTTTGAAACTTTGTGGACATTTTCTCTGAATATTTTTGATTTACACTTGGTTCAATAAACACCTGTAAACCCCACAGATATGGAGGAGCGACTGTATATTTATAGTATGAAATATGATGTGTTGATATGTGTCCCCGTGGAGATGAGACTAGCAAGGCTTATGACTCTACAAATGTTTCATCGTGGAATGACTCTGCCAGCTTTCCAGGTTGCAGAGAGTAAGAATATCACTTGTTCATGTGATTCACGATCCTTGGAACCTCCTATGTGCTGCATCTTTGGATGGAAATTGGAGTCCCAGAGACAAATGAGGCTCCACCCTGCTTCCAGAAGCTCAGAGTCCAGGGGTGAGAACCCAGCGGAGAACAGATGGGGTTATGTGGACATGGTAATGATAACAGCGGTTTCTTTCAGCGAATACAGTGTCACATTACCTGAAGCAATGAGGGCAGACATGTTTATTTGAAGAGGAGACAGCTACATTGAAATCACAAAAAATTTTATAAGTTTCACTGCTGACAGAAGGCTGGAAAATAGTCCGAAGAAAGGTGAAACAGCATGAGGGAAGGTGGAACAGCACGTGGGTAAGTGCCACGTCAAGAGGGAGCCTCTTGTATGTTTGGAATTGTGAGTTCCTCAGTGTGATCGCAGCCTCAAGTAGACTAGGAAGTAAGCCAGTTAGGTTGGAGAGGTGGGCAGGGGTCAAGTGAAATGGAGAACTGTGGGCTAAGCAAAGGAGTGTGTTTTCTTTCCAGCAGGCAGTGGGGACCTAGACATTTGTAAGCAAGAGAGAGGCACCAGATTTGTGGCGTGAGGAGGAGCGATGCCCTAAGATGAAGACTCACGCCTTCAGATTCCAGCTGCTGGTACATGGGAGCTGGCAACTCGGTTTTGAGACAGGGCTGTTGTCTCCCTAGAAGACGCCCTCAAGGCCTGACTGTGGTGCTCATGGGCAGGAGACAACTTTGGATCTGGGCTTAGCATTTGGAAGTTCCGTGTACAAGATGGTATCTGTAGGGGGTGTCTTGGGCCTCTGAGAAGGGCGAGTGATTTTTCTCTGTGTGAAAACGCAGTGATCCAACTGTGCGTATGTCACCTCCTCAGGGTCTTGTTCATCAGAGTCCTGGAGAGAGGGAAATGCTGAGTGAGGGAGGGAAATGCTGAGTGAGGGAGGGTGCTCACGTTTTCCAGGACTGTTTGGGAATAACACTAGCCATGAGGCTGGGCCGAGGAGCACCTACCTCGCTGTTGGCTGTTCTGTTCCCTGCAGGCTCTTGGTCCATTACAGCAGCATCTGTAGGAGACGGAAGTCAACAAAAGAGCTCGGAGGGCACTTCTGGGTCCTCATTTCATAAGCAGATACCAACAAACAGGGGGAGGCCATAGGTGCCTGAGGTCCCTCAGTTGCCAACAGCAGACTCAGACATTCTATCTCTCTGAGCTCAAGGACCCATCCCATGAATAGCTCTGAGTTCCCATCCCATTGATTCTGTCTCCCACTTTCTGCCTGTCATGGAACCTTCTCCTGGATGTGAGTGGCTGCAGGGGACATGAGGATACAGTTCAGAATCAGGCAACGGTCTGTGAGCTGAAGGCAGGGGCAGGGAGTCTGGTGCTCTCTCTAGAAAGTCCTGCCTCTGTGGCTCCTGTCTTGGGCCAGGGACCATCCTGCCAGTGAGGAACACACAGCTGTGTGCTCCCATCCTGCTTCCCCACATGGCCCTGAGCTCTCTGGCCTGTGCCGCGTGAGACTTACTTTTTTTGTTGGAGCACCAGAGATGAAGGAGAAAGAAGAGGAGGAGGATGAAGAGGATGATGACCACTGAGGTCCCAATCAGAATGTGCAGGTGTCTGGGGTTACCTGGAAGAAGAGGAGACACCAGTAAGAAGCTAATCATAGCAGTTTCTCTATATGAATTGTCTTGCATTTCTTGATTGACAGGTAACCACTTACAGCATCTCTTTCGGACAAGCACCCAGATGGCGGGAGACCTAGCTTCCTCCTGCTTTCTCAGTTATAGCTCTCATAGTAACCATGGAACGTGCTGAGGATACAACTACTTTAGTTGAGATGTTTGACCCCTTCAAACCTCACATTGAAATTTAACCCCCAGTGTGGGAGGTTGGGCCTCTTGGGAGGTGTTTGGGTCATGGAGGTGGATCCATCATGAACAGATCAATGCTGTCCCAAGGAGACGGGGTTAGCAAGTTCCCTCTCTATTAGTTCCTGGAGAGCTGGTTGTTAAAAAGAGCTTGGAAGCTCCATTGCTCCCCCTCCCCCTTGCTCCCTCTCTTGCCGTGTGATCTCTGTGGTCTCTGCACAGACAGACCCTCCTTCCCTTCTGCCAGAGTGGGAGCGGCCTGAGGCCATCATAAGAAATAGATGCTGGTGCCATGCTTCCAGTACAGCCTGCAGAATGGTGAGGCAAACCAATCTCTTCTTTAGAAGTTACCCAGGCTCAAGTGTTCCTTTAGAGCAACAAAAATGGACTAAGACAGCAAAGTCCTGAGATCAGGAGGATCGTCCCAGAACAGCCTGGGCTGTCTTCCTGTTCTTCCTGGAGGAGGACGTCATGCAGTGCTTTAGCTGAGTGCTTCCTGTGGCTCCAGGGTACAAAACCCAGGCTGGGCTGCTTTCTGGCTTCCCCCAGCTACACTGCAAATGGGGTGACTCCACATGTCTCGAGCAGCTTTTCTGAGCCTTGGGGAACTGGCTCACATTGAAATGTAGGCTTCTGTTGTCACTCGCTGCTTATCTGTTAGTAATGAACCTGCCTATGTAACGTATTCTCTGTGTGTTCTGTCTCCCTGGAGTGACGGTGAGTGATAGGAATTGGCATAGGCCCAGGTGCAGTCCAGGAGGTGTTTAGAGTCTTCTCTGGGAAGACTGGACTGGGATTGATACACAGCGAATGTGCTTTAGGATTTCTACATCCACGGCATTCTTGAGTTAAACAACTTGCATTCTCCAAGAAAAGGAAACAAAAGTGAAATCAATATAAAAAAAGCGAAGTAGAATTCTCTTATGTCAAACAGCCAGAAAATAGTGTTGAAGCCCGTGTGAAATGTGCTACTCTTTGTGATCTCGGGAGACACATGTTAGGCTGCTGTTCTACCTGAGAGGCTGGGGGAAGGACCACCCCCTCGACTATCTATTGCTTCAATACCACCTGTCCTCCTGTGAATTAGTAGGAAAGGGGAGCAGGAGCTAGTGCTGTCGCTGATCTCTGATTCCAAGATCTGGACTCACTCCAAGGAGTATTAGCATTTACCTCCCCATGATCTATCTGTATCTCCACAGGTGATTGGAAGTAGGGGTGAGATGGGGGATTTGGGTGAGGGGGCAAGTTTTTTTTGTGATGACGAGAGCACTTTCTCTATTCCAGGATTTGTGCTGGAGGATTCAGCGGGCTTTCACATTTTCTATATGATCTCATGCTCACAGAAAGCCAAATACGGAAGAGGTTTTAGGCTGATTGCCTAATGGATAAGATAAAGGATCAAAGAAGTAATTATAGAGAAATAGAAAAATGATGATGGGAATTCAGGTGCCTTTGTCATTCGTGTGTGTTTTATTATATTTATGCATTTCTTATTTTTATTTTTTGAGATGGAGTCTCCTTGTGTCACCCAGGCTGGAGTGCAGTGATGCGATCTCCACTCACTGCAACCTCCATCTCCTGGGTTGAAGTCATTCTCCTGCTTCATCCTCCAGAGCAGGAGCTGGGATTACAGGGATGCACCACCATGCTCGGCTAATTTTTGTATTTTTAGGAGAGATAGGGTTTCACCATGTAGAGATAGGGTTTCACCATGTTGGCCAGGCTGGTCTCGAACTCCTGACTTCTTGGAATCCACTGGCCTTAGCCTCCTGCAGTGCTGGGTTACAGGAGTGAGCCACCGTTCACAGACTTGTATACTATGCTATAATAGGTCCCTTCATTTCCACCACCCCTCATATATCTGTCACTCCTTTGCCAGGTATTGATTTATGTGTAGGAGGAATAAATCTCAGAAAGAAATTAATTTAGCAAGGATTAAACAACTAGGAAACTCAAACCCAGCAAGCCCTCCCTGCAAATGATTCTACCTCCCAAGCATAGCTTATATCCATCTGCTTCATCCACTTAGGGTCTAAATCAGCACCACATTTCACCAGTGGGGCGGGAATTGCCTTTTCCACGGTCTCCTAGATTCCAGTTACGCACCTGGGCCTCCCTTATTTTCATGTCAGTCACTATTAATCATGTAGGGATTCCTGGTTACCCCGAGGTGAATCCAAGGGCTGTGAGTGTCAAACACACACTCCTTGTTGCTCCTTAGTTTCCTGTGTACCCAGTGTGCTCTCCGTCTCTCCACAGTCGTCTTGTCATTCTCCCCACTTCATTCCCAGCATTTGAGTCAGAGCCTCTTCCTTCAACATCAGATTGTTTTCACCTTTGTGCCTTCACAGCTGACAGCTGTGTGGAAAATCCTTCCGCCAATCTTTCAGGGGTTCAATCCGTGTTTTTCATTAATGTCACAAATATCTGATTAGTGAGACCTTCTCTGTCACCCAAAATTATACACTCAGCATTATCTATTATTTATTTTGAATTCTGGCTGGGCAAAGTGGCTCACGCCTGTAATCCCAGTACTTTGGGTTGCTGAGATGGTCGGATCACTTGAGGTTGGGAGTTTCAGACAAGCTTGGCCAATATGGTGAAACATCCTCTCTACAAAAAATATACAAAAAGAATTAGCCGGGCATGGTGGCAGTTGCCTGTAATCCCAGCTACTCGAGAGGCGGAGGCAGGAGAATCACTTGGATCCAGGAGACGCAGGTTGCAGTGAGCCAAGATCGTGACACTGCACTGTAGCCTGGAAGACAGAGGGAGACTCTGTCTCAATAAATAAATGAACGAACAAACAAATAGATTTCATACACAGATGCTTCCCAATGGATCATTCATTTATTGGTCCACTTGTGCATTCATTTTCTGCCCTCCCATTTAACCATCTGCAATATCAGTGTCCCAAGAGCAGAGGCCAAATGCATCTTGTTCACCGTTCGTGGAAGGCAGGAGAATGCTGTCCCACCCCAAAATGTCCCTGTCCTGGCCTCCATAGCTTGTGAATATGTTATTTTACATGGAAAGAAGGAATGAAGATTGCAGATGGAATTACGGTTGCTAGTCAGCTGAACTTAAAACAAGGGTATCCTGAATGATTTCCGGGAGATTATGATGGATTTTCATCTTGGTGAACCCAATAGAATCCCCAAGTTTTCAAAAGATAAGGAAGAAGGGAGAGCAGCATTCAGAGAAAGAGGTGTGGTAAGGAAGAAGGGTCTGAGTGATGCCATGTGAGATGTGACCAGCCTTTGTGGGCTTTGAGGAAGGAGGAAGGGGACCAGGAGCCAAGGAACTGGGAGCCTTTATAAGATGGGACAAGTGAGAAGCAGATTCTTGCCTGGAATCCTCAGGCAAGGGAAGGCAGCCTTGCTGTCACCTTGTTTTTAGCCCAGTGAGATGCACTTCATACTTTGAGCTACAGCACTGTAAGATAATTAAAAAGCCGCTTTGTTTTCACCCACGAATCTTGTGGAAATTTGTTATGGCAACAATAGGAAAGGATTCCAACTGCACAGCCTGAGCATGGGGCTGTGGCTGAATGAGTCAGTGAGTCGAAGTGTGCGTGCATGAGCTCTGTTCTCTATTACGGCAAGGCTCTTGCTCTGCTGAGTCAGCCAGGGTTGCTTCATGACCAACAGTAATTCATTCCTTGGCAAGTGGAACTTCTCTAAAACACCTCGCCCTCATCAGATGTTCCCTTCCCTTCCCTCTCTCAAGTCCCCAGGAATTTATCCTCCAGTTAGGAATGCAGGAAGAAAAAACACTGCATGTTTCCTGAGAAGGATGTCAGATTGGCAATCATTCTTCTAGCTTGTAGGAGGTCTCACCTGCAGGACATTAAAGGTTAAGAGACTTCGCTGAGCCCTTTGGTGGCCCTAGATCCCTTTCACTGTTGGAGTGTCTGGAGTTCAGAGATGGTGGAAGACAGGCCCTCATTCACAGAGCTGGGAGGTTTGAGCCAACACTTGCATCCAAGGCTTCCACCTCCCCAGGTTTCCAAAAGCAGAGATAAGAGGGGTCCTTTACTCACCAGATTTGGAGCTTGGTTCTGTGGGTGAAGGCCAACTACTTGAAGGGTTTCCTAGAACACGGGACAGGAGAGATGTGAGGAAATGAGGGTGCTTGTCCTCTACTCAATGGAAATCTTTGAGGTTGGTTCATGGCCAACACTCTGTTATCTAATGTTGGACCCTGGGAGTCTTGGGATCCTCTTCTCCATAATTTTTGTGTGCGATGCCCACTGTCTTGAGACTTGAAGGTATAAAGAGAAAACAGGAGCATCACACTACCTGACTTAGAAATATGTTACAGAGCTGTAGTAAGCAAAACAGCATGACATTGGCATAAAGAAAGGCACATAAAAAATGGAACAGAATGGAGAACACAGATATAATCCATGCATTTACATCCAATGGCTTTTTTTGTGTGTGTGTGTGATAGAATCTTGCTCTGTCATGCAGGCTGGAGTGCAGAGGTGCAATCTCAGCTCAATGCAACCTCCACTTCCTGGATTCAAGCAATTCTCTTGCCTCAAACACCCGAGTAGTGGTATTACAGGCACTGGTCACCATGCTCAGCTAATTTTTGTATTTTTAGTAGAGACGAGGTTTCACTCTGTTGGCCAGCCTGGTCTTGAACTCCTGGCTTCAGGTGATCCATCCGCCTCGGCCTCCCAAAGTGCTGGAATTGCAGGTGTGAGCCACCATACCCAGCCCATTTAATGGACTTTGACAAAGGTGCCGAGAACTTACAATCAGGAAAGGACAGTCTTTTCAATAAATGGTGTGGGGAAAACTGGATATCTACATGCAGAGGAATAAAACTGCATCTATACCTGTCACCTTACACAAAAATCAAATGAAAATGGATTAAAAACATGAGTCTAAGGCCTGAACCTATGAAACATGTAGAAGAAAATAATGGGGAAGACATTTGTCTGACGAAAGACATTTTGTTTAAAACCTTCAAAACACAAGTAATCAAAGCAAAAAATAGACCATTAGGATTACATCAAACCAAGCAACTTCTGCACCACAAAAGATAAACCAAGAAAGTGAAGAGACAACCGACAAAATAGGAGCAAATATTTGCAAACTATTCATCTGAGACGGGATTAATAACTGGAAATATAAGAAGCTCAAACAACTCAATAAAACAATTTAATTCAAAAAAAGAGCAAAAGACATGAGGAGACATTTCTCCACAAACAAAACATAGAAATGGCGATCACGTATATGAAAAAGTACTCGGCATCACTCATCATCAGAGAAATGTAAATTACAATCGCGATGAGTTTTCATCTCATCCCATTAAAATGCCTTTTAGGCCGGTGGCTCACGCCTGTAATTCCGGCACTTCAGGAGGCGGAGGTGGGCGGATCACCTGAGGTCGGGAGACCAGCCTGACCAACATGGAGAAACTCCCTCTCTACTAAACATACAAAAATTAGCTAGGCGTGGTGGCACATGCCTGTAATCCCAGCTACTTTGGAGGCTGAGGCAGGAGAATCAGTTGAACGCGGGAGGCGGAGGTTGCAGTGAGCTGAGATCACACCCTTGCACTCCAGCCTGGGCGACTATGAGTGAAACTCCATCTCAACATAAATAAATAAATAAAATAAAGTAAAGTAAAATGGCTTTTACTGCAAGACAGGCAAAACAAATGCTGGCAAGATGGTAGAGAAAGGAGAACCCTGGTACCCTGTTGGTAGGAATGTAAATTAGTACAACTATTATGGAGAAAAGTATGGAAATTCTTTAAAAAACTAAAAGGAGGCTGGGCATAGTGGCTTATGCCTGTAACTTCAGCACTTTGGGAAACCGAGGCAGGCACCTCACTTGAGGTCAGGAGTTTGAGAGCAGCCTGCCCAAAATTGGGATATCCCGTCTGTGCTAAAAAAGTACAAAAATTAGCCAGGCATGGTGGCGTGCACCTGTAATCACAGCTACTAGGGAGGCTGAGTCAGGACAATCATTTGAACCTAGGAGGCACAGGTTGCAATGAGCCAAGATCTCACCACTTAGACTCCAGCTTGGACTAAGGAGGGAAACTCTTTCTCAAAAAAGGAAAAAAAAAAAAGAGAACTTTCATAGTGTCCAGCAATTTCACTACTGGGTTTATATCCAAAGGAAAGGACATCAGTGTATCGAAGTGATATCTGCACTCATATGACTGTTCCAGCACTGTTCACAGTAGCCAAGATGTGGAGTCAACCTACCTGCCTATCAGTGGGTGAATGGATAGAGAACTGTAGTACACACACACGGTGGAGACTACTCATCCATAGAAACAATAACATCCTGTCATTTGCAGCCACATGGATGGAACTGGAGGTCATTACAAAGATTCCCATTTCTCACCACATGCAGGAGATAAAAGGTGGATCTCATGAAGGTGGAGAATACAATGGTGGACACCAGAGGCCAGGAAGGGAAGGGTGGAGGGTAACAAAAAAAAGAATATAGATGTATTTATTTATTTAGAAACAGAGTCTCTCTCTGTCTCCCAGGCTGCAGTGCAGTGGCATGATCTCGGCTCAGTGCAACCTCTGCCTCCTGGCTTTAAGTGCTTCTCCTGCCTCAGCCTCCCAAGTAGCTAGGACTACAGGTGCATGCCGGCATGCTCGGCTAATTTTTCTTGTCTGTTTAGTAAAGATGAATTTCCCACATGTTGGCCAGGGTGATCTCGAGTTCCTGATCTTAAATGATCCACCTTCCTTGGCCTCTCAAAGCGCCGAGATTACAACCGTGAACCACCACACCCAGCATATAAAGGTATTTATGACCACTAGATTTTACTTTTAAAAATGGTAAAGGTGGTAAATTATATAGTTACATTTAACCTCAATAAATATTTTTGAAAATGAAAAGAAAAGGGTGTAGGGGTTGCTGGTGATGACATCTCTCTGTGTGGGTGAGAGGCCATGATGGGCTTCTGGGAAATGGATAAGATTGAGGGGCTGAGGGAACCTCTGATCTCCCGAAACTAAGCCCAGTCTCCCCTTCTCTGGGTCTGTCCTGACCGCTTTCTCCATCTGCCTGGGTGCCTGGAGCCCTGATCGGAGGCCTCCATGCAGGCCATGAAGGAGGGTTTGGAGGTGCCCTGTCTGCCATCCTGCGCCCTGACTCCGCCCTCACACCTGCTGTGTCTTCTCTCTGCATCTGTCCATGCTTTTCTCCATCATCAGCAGGAAGCTCCTTAGCTAAGGATTTAGGATCATAGGACATGAGAGAGATATGGGCTTTTCTCACCTGTGACAGAAACAAGCAGTGGGTCACTCGGGTCTGACAACTCGTAGGGAGAGTGACGGAAAGAGCCAAAGCATCTGTAGGTCCCTCCGTGGGTGGCAGGGCCCAGAGGGAAATCTGCCTGGAATGTTCTGTTGACCTTGCGCACTGCAGGGAGCCTACGTTCATGGGCTCCCCCCTCCCTGGATAGATGGTACATGTCATAGGAGCTCCGGGAGCTACAGGACAAGGTCACGCTCTCTCCTGCCTGAACCTTGGGGCCCGGCTGGGCTGAGAGAGAAGGTTTCTCATATGGACCTGGAAGGAGAAGAGGCAGTTTCCTCAGGGAGGTTCTTCCTTGTCATAGCTCCCCTCATACCTGAGCTGAGAACTCACTCCCCTGCTCTATGACCTAATGCTCTCTCTCTCTCTCTCACCCTCCACCCCATCTCTCTTCATATCTGTTTCCTCCTTCTACCTTTTCTGTCTCTCTAGGTCTATGACCTCAATTCCCCACCCTGAGGTATGTTTTCCCTTTTTGGATTGTTTTATTCTCTCTGACCCTCCTTGGATTGGTTGACTTGATCTTCCTTTTTCTTTAATTTTGAGTCTCTCACTTTCTGTCTTGTTCATAACTTTCTGCACATTTCTATCTATTAATCTATTTTGTGTCTATCTACAAATTATCTATCATCTATATTTATGTATCACTTATCTATCTCTCTATCAATTGTCTGTCTGTCTATCTATCCATCAATCATCTATTATCTATATATGTATCATCTATCTCTCTCTCTATTACCTCTCTGTCTGCCTCTCTGTCTCTATTTATGTATCATCTATGTATATATCTATGTGTCTATCATCATCATCGTCATCTCTATGTATCATCTATCAGTCATCATCTATGTATCTATAACCAATCCATTATCTATCATCTACCTATTTATCATCTATCTACGTCTATCTATCCATCTATCATCTCTCTCTCTCCGTCTCCTTGTCTTTCTCTGCCTCTCAGTCTCTCTAGTTCTATTTGGAATCTCTGCAATCCATCCCCACATATTTATCTTTCTCTGTCTTTGTGTCCCTCCCTCAGGGTTCTGATTTTGGGGCTTTTCTCTCCTCCTTTCCATCATTCTCTCCACTCTGCCCTCTTTTCTTTCTTTTTATGTGTCTGTGAATCTCTTAATCTCCTTCTTCTGGCTCATTTTGTGTGTGTTTATGTCTTTGCTTTTTGGTGTCCCTGATTTTTCTCTGTGTCTCTCAGCGATCCTATCATATGTGGGATTATTTGGAATATGAGCCTCAGAATCCAGTCTGGGGACCCCAAGTTCACACAGCATACAGGGGTTGGTGTTCAGGGGCCATGATATCCTGGGATGATTACTCTCCATTGCATGGAAGGCAGAGGTGTCAGAATAAACACGGCATCTGTAGGTGGCACAAGGCCTGAGGCCACAGGGCCCAACTCAGGTCAGAAATATGGGTGTCCTTGGGTTCTTCTGGTAGGAACACTTTGTGGAGGTAAAACAGAAATGAAACTTCTAACCTGTGCCAGGTCTCTGAGCAAAGTCAGCATGGAAGGACACCTCTCTCTGGGACATGTCTGTCTGTCTGAGTGTCTCCTTTACCTCTTTCTCTCTTTTCTACCTCCCTGTATGGCCCCTGTGTCTGTCCTCTGTTATGACAACTGTTCTGTACTTATGTCTCCTGTTTCTCTGTCTCTGTTGGTACAGACCTCACCAAGTCACTCTCTTTCCGTAAGAATCCCACACTTATCTTCCTCATGACCACCTGGGGGTTCCAAGTCCTGGATCATTCACTCTGTGTCCCAGTGACAATGAGAACAATGTCTAGACACTCTCACCTGTGACCACGATGTCCAGGGGATCACTGGGAGCTGACAACTGATAGGAGGTGTGAGTAACAGAACCGTAGCATCTGTAGGTCCCTGCAAGGGCAAGCATCATGGGACCGATGGAGAAATTGGCCTTGGAGACCCCATCATGGATCTGTCCAACGAGGCGTGAGGGGTCCTTAGAGATCCCCTCTTTGTGCAGAAAGAAGTGCTCAAACATGATATCTGACCAACATTGCAGGATGACTCTCTCTCCTGATTTCACCAGGGGACCTGGGTGGGCCAGGAGGGAAGGTTTTCTGTGGTTTCCTAGAAAGAGAAGTTGTGAGTTTAGAAGGCATCTCTCTTTATCATCCCATCCATGGCACCTGGAATGAGTGAGGGTTCCCCTCCCCGTGTCTGTCTCTCTCCTCCCTCTCTGCATCTCCGTGTCTTTTCTGTGCCCATATCCCCTGGTGCAGGTGCCTCCATCTGTCTTCCTCCCTCTTCTCTGTCCCTCTGTCTCCAGTAGCCCCTGACTCCCTTGCCACTGTGAAGACAGCCTCATCTCTTGGGCTGTTGTATCTGTTTCCCACTAATCTCTTTCCTGCTGTCTATGTGGGGGTGGAAGAGGACAGGCTGCATGTCCAGGCTCTTAGCAGCCTGAATCAATCTCTTTTGAACAAATCCCCAGTTCAAGTGATTCTCTTGCCTCAGCCTCCCCAGTCGTTGGATTACTCGCGCCCACCACCACATCTGGCTATCCTTGTTTGGTTTCCTAACTTGTCCTTGACCTGGGTTCCTGTGTTGGTTTCCTGTTGCTGCTGCAGAAAATTACCACAAACATGGCAGCGGGAGAGAACACACTGACCCCTTCCACTTCTGGAGACAGAAATTGGATCCAGTTCTCCCTGTGCTGAAATCAAGGTGTCTACAGGGCTGCGTTCCCTCTGGAGAATCAGCGAATCAGTTCTCTTGACTTCTCCAGCCCTTAGAGGCCACCTGCATTCTGTGACTAGTGGTCTTTCTCCACCTTCAAAGCCCGCAGTGGCTGATAGCGTCTCCCTCCCACTACACTGCTCTAATCCCCACTCCCCTCTTCCTCCACCTCTCATGTGGACCCTTGTGATTACACTGAGCCCAGTGGGACAGTCCAGGCTGTCTCCCCATCTGAAGGTCAACTCATCAACAACCTGAGCTCCACCTTCCCCTTCAGTCCCCTGCCCTGTAACATAAATAGTCACAGGCTCCAGGGATTACAATGTAGCCATCATTGGGGACAGTGATTCTTCCCACCACAGCACCCATTTCCCCTGTATTCAATCTCCCTTGACCCCAAATACAGTCAGGGCCTGGGTGATGGGACCCTGACGGACACCCCCACCAGAAGCTCTGGGATTCAGGAGGTGGGACAGTGAGAAGCCCAGACGGAAAGCCTCTGACCTGTGACCATGATCACCACGGGGTTGCTGGGTGCCGACCACCCAGTGGGGGAGTGTGGGTGTGAACCCCGACATGTGTAGTTCCCTGCATGTGCTGTGGTCACAGGGCTCATGTTGAAGCTCTCCTGGAATATTCTGCCATGGAAGATGGGAATGTGGATTCTGTCTTCTTTGTATAGCATGAAATTGTTAAACCTATGACGATAGTGACACCGAAGAGTCACGTGTCCTCCTCGAGGCACCACAGCGCTGGGCCAGGCAGACAGGAAGGGTTTGTCCTGACCACCTGGGGGAGAAGGAGGCACTGCCTTAGAGAGGAGGATGTGGAGCCGCCCCTCACTCCCAGTGCCCAGAAGATTCTCCCCATTTCCACTTTCTAAGGCTCCTACCACACCTGGGTGCCCAGGGCTACAGGAAGGACCCATCCTGCATAGACTTGGCGTCTCCCTACAACAAGTGTCAGCTGAGAACTTTGAGCAAGTTGCTGGAGAAGCAACTCTTACTAGATTTTAATACTGCAAAATTACTCATATAAAACAACACAAAGTAGACACGGCATGGAGGGCAAGTCCTATGTGAATGGAATATCAGCCAATTGATGAACTGAGCCCCCATCAGAGGATTTGGAATGTCAGGGCCATGGCTGTGGTTTCCTCACCTTTTCTGGTAGAAAGACCGCAGCCACACTGCAGCCCCTACCATCACGGAAACGCTGGAGGGTGTGAGTTACACCTTTGTCCTCAGAGGACCTGCTGTTCCTAGCACTGCTTCCCTCTCTTTCTCTGCTGCTGACACCACTTCCTCCCTGCACACCCATCTTGGAGCACCCTAGTCTCACCCCAGTCTTCACAGAGCTTGACTCAGGAAAGGGAATGAAAGGCCGGGGAAGGCAAGGTCAGAAATGTGGGCCGAGCATCCGAGGGTCCCCTCTTCCTAGTGTATGAGAGACTCCCCGACAGGACTTCCCTCCCATTTCAGGAAAATCCTCTTATGTGGGGAGATGACACCCTAAGGTTTGGGGAAGGACTCACCCATGTGTGGACCGGCCCTCTGGACCAAGAACAACCCTAGAAAGAAAGATCATGATGGACCATCCATCTGCAGGCAAACCAGGGCACCCTGCTGCCCCCACTGGGCTGTGCGTCTTGGCAGCCAGGCCCTTGCTGGGCTGAAGGTAAACTCACCCTCGCTGCCTACCTGCCCCCAGGAACAAGGATCTCGGCTGTGCAGAGACTGAGCCTCCAGGCCCAGATCTCTACCTCCAGGCCTAGATCTACACAACAGGCCCAGATCTCCACTCCAGGTCCGTATCTCCACTCCAGGCCCATATCTCCTCTCCAGGCTGGTAAGTCCACTCCAGGCCCATATCTCCACTCCAGGCTCCTATCTCAACTCCAGGCCCATATCTCCTCTCCAGGCTGGTAAGTCCACTCCAGGCCCATATTTCCACTCCAGGCTTCTATCTCCTCTCCAGGCCCATATCTCCTTTCCAGGCTTGTATGTCTGCTCCAGGCCCGTATCTCCACCCCAGGCCCATATCTCCACTCCAGGATCATATCTCCACTCCAGGCCCAGATCTCCACTTCATGCCCTTAACTCCACCTCCGGGCCCATAACTCCACCTCTAGGCCCATATCTCCACTCCAGGCCCATATCTCCACTTCAGGCCCATATCTCTACTGCAGGCCCATAACTCCACCTCCAGGCCCATATCTCCACTCCAGGCCCATCGCTCCACTTCTAGGCCCATCACTCCACCTCTAGGCCCACATCTCCCCTCCAGGCCCATATCTCCCCTCCAGGCCCATCTCTCCACCCCAGGCACATATCTCCACCCCAGGCCCATATCTCCACTCCAGGCCCAGATCTCCACTCCAGGCACATATCTCCACCCCAGGCCCCTATCTCCACTCCAGGCCCAGATCTCCACTCCAGGCCCAGATCTCCACTTCAGGCCCATAACTCCACCTCTAGGCCCATAACTCCACCTCTAGGCCCATATCTTTACCTCCAGGTCCAGATCTCCATCCCCTCACTCCCTCCCTCGATTCCCTTCCAGGACTCACCAACACACGCCATGCTGACGACCATGAGCGACATGGTGCTGCCGGTGCAGACAGGCGGCTGCGCCCCAGCTCAGCTCAGCAGCGCACAGGATGTTATTCGGCGCCCTGCCCATGCAGTTTACATGTTGACCACATCATGGGAGGGTGACGTACGCAGGCTCTTTCTACCTTGCATGAGGCCCAGTGGGTGCTCGCTCAAGAGCGGAACATGGCTTCCTGGAAATTGCTCTCACTAGAATTGACACCTCGCGTCCTTCACTATGACCAACTCAAAACACGTCTCAGATCCAACCTCCCGAACATGAGATGCCTAAAATCTGTGCTAACATGAAAGACTTTTCATGTATTTTTATTGTTTTTATCTGAGATTCAAACTCTTCTTCCTGTGTAATATGCAAAATATCTAATAGGTATTATTAAGGTTTTCAGAGCAATTGTGACAATAAACCATTAGAATTTTTCATGATTGTATTTCTAGTATTACAGCAGAACCAGTTCAAATGATTTAAACTCCCAGGGAAGGATTATGCAATTATTTACAATCTTAGAATTGTACTTTATCAGCAAAAATCACAACATGTAAATTCTGGATTTTTGTAGATTTATCTAGAATTTGTCTCATGTCCCAAGATTCCAGAGTTCCAACTCATGGTTTGCTCTCTCTCTGTCTCTCTGCCTCCCTCATTTTAAATTTTACAGAAATATCCAGTAACATAATGCTATAGAAAATCAATTTCCCCAGCACTTTGGAAGCCGAGGTGAGTGATCAACCGAGGTCAGGAGTTTGAGACCAGCCTGGCCAATATAGTGAAACCATGTCTCTGCTAAAAATACAAAAATTAGCCATGCCTGGTAGCAGGCACTTGTAATGCCAGCTATTCAAGAGGCTGAGGCACGGAATCCCTTGAACCTGGGAGGCGGAAGTTGCAGTGAGCCGAGATCGTGCCACTGCACTCCAGCCTGGGCAACAGAGCGAGACTCTGCCTCAAGAAAAATAAAAAAAGCATAGCAAATAGCCTATAATAAATAACTAGAGGACTCCAGCTACCAAATTTTAGGGGTTGTATAAGGCTGCATAAAATGCAGCATTCTCAAGAGAGTGGACAGAGAGAGAGCCACTGAGCAGAAAACAGTGTCTAAAATACATCCGTGTACACACAGTCCCTTTATAGTTGACAAAGGCTGCCATGTGGTTTAAGGTGGAATAGAATGTCTTCTCAATAAATAACATGGGCCCAAGGGTTACACATAGAGAAAAATATATCTAAACGTATTCTCACACTATAAAACACTTGTTTATTTTATCTTGTTATTGTAATTTTTTTATGTTTTATATTTAAAATTGAGAAATAAAAATTATATACAGTCATCCCTCACTATTCGTGGGTGATTGGTTTCAGGATCTCCACTCAGATAGCACAATCTGCAGACGCTCAAGCCTCTTACATGAAATGGCACAGCATTTGCAAATAACCCATGCACATCCTCCTGTGTACATGAAATCATCCCTTGATTATTTATAATTCCTGATACAGCCTACACACAGCTTCATTTGTGTCCATTCAACATAGTTTTGCTTTTTGAAACTTTGTGGATTTTTTCTCTGAATATTTTTGATTTATATTTGGTTCAATAAACACCTGTAAATCCCACAGATACAGAGGACCGACTGTATATTTATAGTATGAAAGATGATGTGTTGATATGTGTCCCCGTGGAGATGAGACTAACAAGGCCTATGACTCTACAAATGTTTCATCATGGAATGACTCTGCCAGCTTTCCAGGTCTGCAGAGAGTAAGAATATCACTTGTTCATGTGATTCACGATCCTTGGAACCTCTTATGTGCTGCATCTTTGGATGGAAATTGGAGTCTCAGAGACAAATCAGGCTCCACCCTGCTTCCAGAAGCTCCGAGTCCAGGGGTGAGAACCCAGTGGAGAACAGTTGGAGTTATTTGGACATGGTAATGATAACACTGGAAACTTTCAGCCAAAAAAAGAGTCACCTAAAGAATGAAGGCAGACATGTTTATTTGAAGAGGAGAGAACTACACTGAAATCAAAAAAATTTTATAAGGTTTGCTGATGCCAGAAGGCTGAAAAATAGTCTGAGGAAAGGTGGAACAGCACGAGGGAAGGTGGAACAGCACGTGTCTAAGTGCCGTGTTAAGAGAGAGCCTCTTGTATGTTTGGAATTGTGAGTTCCTCAGTGTGATTGCAGCCTCAAGTAGACTAGGAAGTAAGCCAGTTAGGTTGGAGAGGTGGGCAGGGGTCAAGTGAAATAGAGAATTGTGGGCTAAGCAAAGGAGTGTGTTTTCTCTGCAGCAGGCAGTGGGGACCTTAGACATTGGTAAGCAAGAGACAGGCACCAGATTTGTGGTGTGAGGAAGAGTGATGCTCTAAGATGGAGACTCACGCCTTCAGATTCCAGCTGCTGGTACATTAGAGCTGGCAAGCTGGGTTTGAGACAGGGCTGTTGTCTCCCTAGAAGATCCCATCAAGGCCTGACTGTGGTGCTCATGGGCAGGAGACAACGCTCTGGGCTCAGCATTTGGAAGTTCTATACACACGCTGGTATCTGTTGAGGGTCTCTTGCTCCTCTGAGAAGGGCCAGTGATTTTTCTCTGTGTGAAAATGCAGTGATCCAACTGTGCGTATGTCACCTCCTGAGGGTCTTGTTCATCAGAGTCCTGGAGAGAGGGAAATCCTGAGTGAGGGAGGGTGTTCACATTTTTCAGGACTATTTCGGAATAAGACTGTATCCATGAGGCTGGGCTAGGAGGACCTACCTCCCTGTTCACTGTTCTGTGTCCCGCAGGCTCTTGGTTCATTACAGCAGCATCTGTAGGAGACGGAAGCAATCAAAACAGCTGGGAGGGCACTTCTGGGTCCTCATTTCATGAACAGATACCAACACACAGGGGGAGGCCATAGGTGCCTGAGGTCCCTCAGCTGCCAACAGCCAGACTCAGACATTCCATCTCTCTGAGTGCAAGACCCCATTCCATGAATAGCTGTCAGTTCCCATCCCATTGATTCTATCTCCCACTTTCTGCCTGTCATGGAATCTTCTCCTGGATGTGAGTGGCTGCAGGGGACGTGAGGATACAGTTCACAATCAGGCAACGGTCTGTGAGCTGAAGGCAGGGGCAGGGTGTCTGGTGCTCTCTCTAGAAAGCTCTGCCTCTGGCTCCTGCCTTGGGCCAGAGACTTTCCTGCCAGTGAGGAACACACACCTGCGTGCTCCCATCCTGCTTCCGCACAGGGCCCTGAGTTCTCTGGCCTCTGCTTCGTGAGGCTTACTTTTTTTTTGGAGCACCAGCGATGAAGGAGAAAGAAGGGAAGGATGGTAAAGAGGATGATGGCCACTGAGTACCTAATCACAGCATGCAGGTGTCTGGCGATACCTGGAGGAAGATGGGAATCCAATAAGAAGCTAACCATAGCAGTTCCTCTTTGTGGATTGTCTCTCATTTCTTGGTTGCCAGGCAACCACATAAAACACCTCTTTAAGACAAGCACCCACGAGGCGGGAGACCCAGCTTTCTCCTGCTTTCTCCGTTATAGTTTTCATAATAACAATAGAATGTGCTGATGATACAACTGCTATTGTTTCAATGTTTGACCCCTCCAAACCCCACTTTGAAATTTAATCCCCAGTGTGGGAGGTTGTGCCTATTGGGAGGGGTGTTTTGGTCATGGGGGTGGATCCATCATGAATAGATTAATGCTGTCCCCAGAGGACGGGGTTAGCAAGTTCTCCCTCTATTAGTACCCTGGAGAGTTGATTCTTAAAAAGAGCTTGGAAGCTCCATCACACCCCCTTTCTCCCTCTCTTGCCATGTGATCTCTGTGGTCTCTGCACACGCAGGACCCCCTTCTCTTCTGTCAGTGTGGGAGCAGCCTGAGGCCGCAGCCAGAAATAGATGGTAGTGTCCTGCTTCTAGTACAGCGTGCAGATCAGTGAGCCAAACACATCTCTTTTCTTTAGAAGATACCCAGGCTCAAGTGTTCTTTTATAGCAACAAAAATAGGCTAAGACAGCAACATCCTGAGATCAGGAGGAACGTCTCAGAACAGCCTGGGCTGTCTTCCTGTTCTTCCTGGAGGAGAACATCATGCAGTGCTTTAGCTGAGTGTTCCCTGTGGCTCCAGGGTACAAAACCCAGGCTGGGCTGCTTTCTGGCTTCCCCCAGCTACAGTGCACATGAAGTGACTCCATGTGTCCTGAGCAGTTTTTCTGAGCCTTGAGGGACTGGCTCACCCTGAAAGGAAGGTTTCTGTTGTCACTCGCTGCTTATCTATAAGTAATGAACCTGCCTATGTAATGTATTCCCTGTGTGTTCTGTCTCCCTGGAGTGATGGTGAGTGATAGAAATTGGCACAGCCCCAGGTGCAGTATGGGAGGTGTTTAGAGTCTTCTCTGGGAAGACTGGACTGGGATTGATACACAGTGAATGTGCTTTACAGTTTCTACATCCACAACCCTCTTGACTCAAACAAATTACATTCTCCAAGAAAAGGAAAAAACAGTGACATTGAAATCAACATAAGTGAGGTTGAGCTGTCTTATATCAAACAGCCAGGAAATAATGATGAAGCTCGTGGGCAACATGCTACTTTTGTCATCTTGGGAGTCAGATATTAGGCTGCTGTTCCACCCGAGAGTCTGGGGGAAAGACCACCCCCTCCATCATCTGTTGCTTCAATACAGCCTGTCTTTCTGTGAATTACTCCAAAAGGTGACCAGGAGATAGTGCTGGCACTGGTCTCTGAGTCTACGATCTGAACTCCAAAGAATATTAGTTTTTACCTCCCCATGATCTATCTGTATCATTAATGTGATTGGAAGTAGGGGTGAGGTGGGGGATTTGGGTGAAGGGGCAAGTTTTGTGCCATGAACAGATCACGTTCTCTATTCCAGGACCTGTGCTGGTGGGTTTCACATTTTCCATATGATCTCATGCTCACAGAAAGCCAAATAAGGAAGATGTTTTCGCCTGATTTTCTTACGGATAGGATAAAGGATCAAAGAAGTCATTATAGAGAAATAGAAAAATGATGATTGGAATTGGTGTGCCTTTGTCATTCGTGTATGTTATATTATATTTATGTATTCTTTATTTTTATTTTTTGCCATGGAGTCTCACTCTGTCACCTAGGGTGCAGTGCAATGACGCGATCTTGGCTCACTGTAACCTCTCCCTCCCTGGTTGAAGCCATTCTCCTTCTTCAACTTCCCGAATAGCTGGTATTACAGGCACGCGCCACCACCCCCAGCTAGTTTTTGTATATTTAGTAGAGATGGGGTTTCACCATGTTGTCCAGGCTGATCTCGAACTCCTGATCTCACTTGATCCAGCCTCCTCAGCCTCCCAAAATGTTGGGTTACAGGTGTGAGCCACCGTTCAGAACCTTGTGTGTTATATTATAATAGGTCTCTTCCTTTGCACCACCCCTCATGTATCTCTCACTCCTCTGCCAAGTATTGATTTACATGTAGGAAAAATAAATCTCAGAAAGAAATCAATGAAGTGAAGATTAAACAATTAGGAAAAATCAAACCAGGCAAGCCCTCCCTGCAAATTACTCTACCTCACAAACACATCTTGTGTCCATCTTTCATTCATTTAGTGTCTAAATCAGCACCACATTTCACCAGGGGGGCGGGAATTGCCTTTTCCACAGTCTCCTAGATTCCAGTTATGCACCTGGGCCTCCCTTATTTTCATGTCAGTCACTATTCATCATGTAGGGATTCCCAGTTAGCCCCGAGGTAAGTCCAATGGCTGTGAGTATCAAACACACGCTCCTTGTTCCTCCTTAGTTTCCTGTGTACCCAGAGTGCTCTCTGTCTCTCCACAGTCGTCTTGTCATTCTCCCCATGTCATTCCCAGCATTTCAGGCAGAGCCTCTTCCTTCCACATAACATTGTTTTCACCTTTGTGCCTTCACGGCTGACAGCTGTGTGGAAAATCCTTCCGCCAATCTTCCAGGGGTTGATCTATTTTTTTCATTAAGGTCACAAGTATTATTTGATCAGTGAGAACTTCTCTGTCACCCGAAATTATACACTCAGCATTATCTATTATTTCTTTTAAAATACGGCTCGGCGCCTTGGCTCACGCCTCTAATCTCAGCACTTTGGGAGGCTGAGACGGGCGGATCCCTTAAGGTTGGGAGTTTGAGATAGCCTGGGCAACATGGTAAAACCTTGTCTGTACTAAAAAAAAATACCAAAAAAAAATTAGCCAGGCGTGGTGGGACATGGGTGTAATCCCAGCCTCTCGGGAAGCTGAGTGTAGAGAATCGCTTTAACCTGGGAGGTGGAGGTTGCGGTGAGCCGAGATCCCGCCACTGCACTCCAGCCTGGGGCACAGAGGGAGACACCGTCTCATAAAAACAACCAATCAATCAATCATTCTCATGCACAGATGCTTCCCAATGGATCATTCATTTATTGGTCCACTGGTGCATTCATTTTCTGCCCTCCCATTTAATCCTTTGCAATATCAGTGTCCAAGAGCAGAGGCCAAATGCACCTTGTTTACCATTTGTGGAAAGGATAAGAATGCCGCCCCACCCCAAAATGTTCCTGTCCTAGTCGCCATATCTTGTGAATATGTTATTTTACATGGAAAAAAGGAATGCAGATTGCAGATGGAATTACGGTTGCTAATCAGCTAACCTTAAAAGGAGGGTATCCTAGATGATTTTAGGGAAATTATGATGGATTATCTTGGTGTTTCCAATAGAATGCCAAAGTCCTTAAAAGATGAGGAAGAAGGCAGAGCAGCATTCAGAGAAAGAGGTGTGGACAAGGAAGAAGGGTCTGAGTGATGCCGTGTGAGAGGCGTGACCAGCCTTTGTGGACTTTGAGGGAGGAAGACGGGGACCAGGAGCCAAGGAATGTGGGAGCCTCTAGGAGCTGGGAAAAGTGAGGAAGCAGATTCTTGCCTGGAACATTCAGAGGGAAGGCAGCCTTGCTGTCACCTTGATTTTAGCCCAGTGAGATGATGCATTTCATACTTCTGAGCTACAGCACCATGAGATATTTTTTAAAAATGTGGTTTCCATCCACGAAGCTTGTGGAAATTTGTTATGGCAACATAGGAAAAGGTTCCACACTGCACAGTCTGAGCATGGGGCAGTGGCTGAACGAGTAAGTGGAAGTGTCATGTGCACGGATGAACTACGTTCTCTCTTACTGCAAAGCTCTTGTTCCACTAAGTCAACCAGGGTTGGATCATGACAGACAGGAGCTCATTCCTTGGCAAGTAGAACTTCTCTACAAATACACCACCCTCAAAAATGTTCCCCGTCCTTCCCCTTCTCAAGCCCCCAGGCATTTGTCCTCCCAGTTAGGAATGCAGGCAGAACAAACACAGCATTTTTCCTGAGAAGAATGTCTGATTTGCACTCATCCTTCTACCCTGAGGTCTCAGCAGCAGAAAATTAGAGATTAAGAGATTTCACTGAGCCCTGTGCTGGGCCCAGATCCCTTTCGCTGTTGGAGTGTCTGGGGTTCAGAGACAATGGAAGACAGGCCCACAATCACAGAGCTGGCAGGTGCTGAGCCAACGCTTGAATCCAAGGCTTCTACCTCCCCAGGTTTCCAAAAGCAGAGATAAGAGGGGTCCTTCACTTACCAGTTTTGAAGCTTGGTTCAGTGGGTGAAGGCCAACTACTAGAAGGGTTTCCTAGAACATGGGACAGGAGAGAGGTGTGGCAATGAGGATGCCTGTCTTCTACTCAATGGAAATCTTTGAGGTTGGTTCATGGCCAACATTCTATTATCTAATGTTGGGCCCTGGGAGTCCTGGCATCCCATTCTCCATAATCATTGTAGGTGACACCAACTATCTTGAGACTTCAAGGTATAAGGAGAAAACAGGAGCATCACACTACCTGACTTAAAAATATGTTACAGAGCTGTAGTAAACAAAACAACATGACATTGGCATAAAGAAAAGCACATAAAACAATGGAGCAGAATGAAGAACACGGATGTAATCCACCCATTTACATCCAATGGACTTTGACAAAGGTTCGAAGAATCTACAATCTGGAAAGGACAGTCATTTCAATAAATGGTGCAGGGAAAACTGGATATCTACATGCAGAGGGATGAAACTGCACCTCTACCTCTCACCATACACAAAAATCAGATGAAAATGGATTAATGACTTAAGACCTGAATCCATTAAATGTCTAAAAGGAAACACTGGAGAAATGCTCCAGGACATTTGTCTGAGGGAAGACATTTTGTTTAAAACCTCAAAAACACAAGTAATCACAACAACAACAAAAAAATAGACCATTGGGATTATATCAAATCAAGCAGCTTCTGCACCGCAAAGGAAGCAACCAATGAAGTGAAGAAGAGACAACCCACAGAATGGGAGCAAATATTTGCAAACTATGCATCTGAGATGGGATTAATAACTAGAATATAAAAGAAGCTCAAACACCTCAATAAAACTAATAATTTAATTATAAAATTAGTAAAAGACCTGAACAGACATTTCTCAATGAACAAAACATACAAATGAACATATATACATTGCATATATGAAAAAGTGCTCAGTATCACTAATCATCAGAGAAATGCAAATGAAGTCACAATGAGCTATCATCTCACCCCATTACAATGGGTTTTATCTCAGAGACAGACAAAACAAATGTTGGCAAGGTGGTGGAGAAAGGAGAACCCTGATACACTGTTGATAGGAATGTAAATTAATACAGCCATTACAGAGGAGAAGAATATGGAAGTTCCTTAAAAACTAAAAAGAGATTAGGCACTGTGGCTCACGCTTGTAATCCCAGCACCTTGGGAGGCTGAAGTGGGCAGATCACTGGAGGTCAAGAGTTCGAGACCAGCCTGGCTAACATGGTGAAACCCCGTCTCTACTAAAAATACAAAAATCAGCCAGGCGTGGTGGCGGGCACCAGTAATCCCAACTACTCGGGAGGCTGAGGCTGGAGAATCACTTGAATCCTGGAGGTAGAGGTTGCAGTGAGCCCAGGTGGTGCCATTGCACTCCAGCTTGGGCAACAAGAGTGAAACGCTATGTCAAAAAAACAAAAAGCATAAAACAAAACCTAAAAAGAGAACATCCAGAGGATCTAGCAATTCCACTAGTGGGTGTAAATGCAAAGAAAAGGACTTCAGTGTATTGAAGTGACATCTGCACTCCCATGACTGTTCCAGCACTGTTCACAGTAGCCAAGATGTGGAGTCAACCTACCTGCCCATCAGTGGATGAATGGATAGAGAGAATGTAGTACATACACACAATGGAGACAACTCATCCATACAAAGAGAAACGTCCTGTCATTTGCAGCCACATGGATGGACTGGAGGTCATTACAAGGATTGCCATTTCTTACTCACATGCAGGATGTAAAAGGTGGACCTCATGAAGGTAGAGAGTAGAATGGTGGATACCAGAGGTTAGGAAGGAAGGGGTGGAGGGTAACAAAAGAAGAATATAAAAGTATTTATTTATTTATTTAGAGACAGAGTCTCTCTGTGTCACCAGGCTGCAGTGCAGTGGCATGATCTCAGCTCACTGCAACCTCCTCCTCCTGGGTTTAAGCCACTCTCCCGCCTCAGCCTCCCAAGTTGCTGGGATTATAGGCGCCTGGCACCATGCCTGGCTAATTTTATTTTTTTTGTCTTTTTAGTAAAGATTGGTTCCCCCATGTTGGCCAGGCTGGTCTCCAGCCCCTGATTTTAAATGATCCACCTGCCTTGGCGTCTCAAAATGCTGAGATTACAGGCGTGAGCCACTGCACACAGCATATAAAGGTATTTATGATCCCTAGATTTTACACTTAAAAATGGTAAAGTTGATAAATTATATAGGTATATTTAACCTCAATCAGCATTTTTTCAAAGGAAAAGAAAAAGTGTAGGGGTTGCTGGTGATGACATCTCTGTGTAGGTGAGAGGCCAGGGTGGGCTTCTGGGAAATGGGTAAGGTTGAGGGGCTGAGGGAACCTCTGATCTCCCCAAACTGAGCCCAGTCTCCCTCCTCTGGGTCTGTCCTGACCACTTTCTCCATCTGCCTGGGTACCCGGAGCCCTTACTGCAAGCTTCCATGCAGGCCATGCAGGAGGGTTTGGAGGTGCCCTGTCTGCCATCCTGTGCCCTGATCCCACCCTCACACCATGCTGCATCTTCTCTCCACATCTGTCCATGCTTCTCTCCATCATCAGCAGGAAGCTCCTCAGCTAAGGCTCTAGGACCATAGGACATGGGACAGACATTGGCTTTCCTCACCTGTGACAGAAACAGGCAGTGGGTCACTCGGGTCTGACCACTCGTAGGGAGATCCATGGAAAGAGCCGAAGCATCTGTAGGTCTCTCCGTGGGTGGCAGGACCCAGAGGGAAGTCGGCCTGGAATGTTCCATTGATGCTGGGCACTGCAGGGAGCCTAAGTTCATGGGCTTCCCCCTCCCTGGATAGATGGTAGATGTCAAAGGAGCTCTGGGAGCTGCAGGACAAGGTCACGTTCTCTCCTGCGCGAACCGTGGGGCCCGGCCGGGCTGTAAGCGAAGGTTTCTCATATAGACCTGGAAGGAGAAGAGGCAGTTTCCTCAGGGAGGTTCTTCCTTGTCACAGCTCCCCTCCCACCTGAGCTGAGAACTCACTGCCCTGCTCTATGGCCTAGTGCTCTCTCTCTCTCTCTCTCTCTCACCCTCCACCCCCAACTCTTCCTGTCGATCCCTCCCTATGTGGTTCCAGCCTGGTGGTGGCATCAGCAGTGCACCCTTGCTGATCTCAGGGTAGCCAACCTTCTTGTTTGGTTTTTTAACTTGTCCTTCACCTGGGTTCCTGTGTTGGTTTCCTGTTGTTGCTGGAGAAAATTATCACAAACATGGCGGCAGGAGAGAACACACTGACCCCTTCCACTTCTGGAGACAGAAATCAGACCCTGTTCTTCCTGGGCTACAATCAAGGCATCTGCAGGGCTGCATTCCCTCTGGAGACTCGGGAGAATCAGTTCCATTGATTTCTCCAGCCCCTTCGTGGCTCGTGGTCTTCCTCCACCTTCAAAGCCCACAGTGGCTGGTGGAGTATCCCACGATGCTGCTCTAATCCCCATTCTCCTCTTCCTTCTCCACTCATATGGACCCTTGTGATTACACTGAGCCCAGTGGGAGGGTCCAGGCCATCTCCCCATCTCAAGGTCAACTCATCAACAACCTGAGCTCCATCTTCCCCTTCAGTCCCCTGCCCTATAACATAGTCACAGGCTCCAAGGATTACAATGTGGCCATCGATGGGGACAGTTATTCTTTCCAACACAGCACCCATTCCCCTGTATTCAATCCCCCTTTACCCCAAATATAGTTGGGGCCTGGATGATCGGACTCTGGTGGACACCCCCACCAGAAGCTCTGGGACTCAGGAGGTGGGACAAGGAGAAGCCCAGACAGGAGCCCTCTGACCTGTGACCATGATCACCAGGGGGTTGCTGGGTGCCGACCACTCAGTGGGGGAGTGCGGGTGAAAACCTCGACATCTGTAGGTCCCTGCGTGTGCTGGGGTCACAGGGCTAATGAGGAAACTGTTCCAGAATATTCTGTTGTAGAGCTCAGGGACAGGGACCCCATCTTTCTTGTACAGCGTGAAGATGTTAAACCCACGACGACAGTGACACCGAAGAGTCACGTGTCCTCCTTGAGGCACCACAGCGCTGGGCCAGGCAGAGCAGAAGGGCTTGTCCTGACCACCTTGGGGAGAAGGAGATGCCGCCTCAGAGAGGAGTATGTTGAGCTGCCCCTCCCTCCCTGTGCTCAGAAGATTCTCCCCATTTCTTCTTTCTAAGGCTCCTACCACACCTGGGTGCCTGGGGCTACAGGAAGGACCCATCCCGCATAGACGTGGCGTCTCCCTACAACAAAAGTGTCAGTTGAGAACTGAGCAGGTGCTGAGTAAGGGACTCTTACTAGATTTTAATACTGCAAGATTAGTTACACCAAACAACACAAAGTAGACATGGGGTGGAGGGTATGACCTTTGTGAATGGAATATTAGCTAATGCCTGAACCACAATAAACAACTGAGCTCCATCAGAGGATTTGGAATGGCAGGGTCGTGGCTGTGGTTCCCCCACCTCTTCTGGCAGAATGACAGCAGCCACACTGCAGCCCCTACCGTCATGGAAACGCTGGAGGGTGTGAGTTACCCTCTTGTCCTCAGAGGACCTGCTGTTCCTAACACTGCTACCCTTCCCTCCTCTGTCGGTGACACCACATCCCCCCACACACCCCAGCTTTGAGCACCTCAGTATCCCGCCTGGGCCACACAGAGCTCAACTCAGCCATGGGGAAGAAAGGCTGGGGAGGGCTAAGACAAAACAGAAGGCTGAGCATACCAGGATCTCCTCTTACTAGTTCATGAGAGACTCCCAGGATCTCCTCTTACTAGTTCATGAGAGACTCCCAGGATCTCCTCTTACTAGTTCATGAGAGACTCCCAGGATCTCCTCTTACTAGTTCATGAGAGACTCCCCCCAGGCCTTCCCATGGTCAGCCCATCAGCCCACCCTCTGTGCTGCCTCCCTCCCATTTCCGGAAAATTCACTTGTATTGGGGTGAAGATGGCAACCCATCATTTGGGGAAGGACTCACCCACGTGTGCCCACACACTCTGGTCCAAGAAGAACCCTGCAAAGAAAGATCATGATGAACTATTCATCTCGGCAGCAACCTACCCTTTCCTCCTGAGCCACTGGGCGCCACGCTGGACTGAAAATTAACTCATCCTCACCACTCACTTGCTTCAGAACATGGCTCTCTGCTGGGGAGACACCCAATCTGCAGGCCCATAGTGTAACCCTGGTGCTCCTTCCCTTCCAGGACTCACCAAGACATGCCAGGATGATGACCGTGGGTGACATGGACATGGTGCAGCTTCTGCTGCCAGGACGCAGTGACTCGGCTCGACTGACCGGTGCAGAGGATGTGGTGAGGGGCCCGGATCGTGCAGTTGACACATTGACCACAACATGTGAAGGGGACATAGGTAGGCTTCTTCTACGTCATATGAGGTTCAAGTGGTGAATCAGTCAAGGGAGGAATGAGGGTTTCTGAAAACTGCAGACTAGACTTGTCACTTCACATCATGCGCAACGGCCAGGCTCAAAACACATCTCAGACTCACTTACCCCTGCACGGGACGATTGAATTCTGCACTCACATGAGGAACTTTTGATGTATTTTTTTTTGTTTCTACCTGAGATTCAAACTCTCCTTGATATGTAATATGCAAAATACCTAATAGGTTTTATTAACACTATAGAGCAATCGTATTAAATAAATCATCATAATTTTCCATGGTTGTATTTTTCCTGTTAAGCCAGAAACAGATAAAATGATTTAAATCCCAGTAGAAAAGACTATATAGTTATTTCGCATCATAGAATTCCACCTTATTAGCAAAAACACAATATGTCAATTGAAGGTCTGGTCGTGTTATCTAGAATTTGTCTTATGACACAAGAGTCCAAATTCACAGTTCCCTGTCTCCCTTTTTGTCTCTCTGTAACGTGTGCTTTTTTTCTCCCTGTGTTGTTTGTGTGTCTTTCTTTCTCTCTCTCATTTGAGGAAAAAATATCAGACTGATAACATCCTCCAACTTGATACTGGAATATTGCAATAACTGAAGGTTGAAATCTACACATTTAATGTGCTGTCATTCTTACAAATGTCTCTTATTTACACCTACCTTTCTGGAGTTTGTAAGAACTTTTTCACTATGCATTTTAAATTTGTAAAACTCATAATTTTTAAAAAGGGATGGGTCTCACTGTTTGCCCAGGGTGGCCTTTACTCATTCTATAAGGCTGGCATCACCCTGATACTAAAGACAGAAAAGAATATTAAACAAAAGAAAACTACATGCCAATATTCCTGATGAGCATAGATGCAAAAATCCACAAAAAATACTAAGAACTGAATCCCGCAGCATATCAAAAAGTGAATCCACCATGATCAAGTCAACTTTATTCTTAGGGTGCAAGGTTGGTTGAACATACACAATCAATACATGTGATTCATCACCTAAACAAAACTAAAAACAAAAACCACATGATCTTCTCAACACACATGTAGAACATACTTTTTACTAAGCATTTCTTCATGTTAAAAGCCCTCAACAAGCTAAGCATTGAAGAAACATAACTCAATATAATAAGAGCCGCCTATGACAAACCCACAACCAACATCATACTGAATGAGTAAAAGCTGGAAGAAGTTCCCTTCATAAGTGAAACAAGACAAGAATGCCCACTCTCACCATCCTATTCAACATAGTACTTGAAGTCCTAGACAGAGCCATCAGGAAAGAGAAAGAATTATAAGGCATCCAAGTAAGAAGAGAGTAGCAGAGAGAGGTAGTCAAATTACCTCTGTTTGAAGATGAGATAATTTCTATACCTAGAAACCCCATAGTCTCTGCCCAAAGGCTCCTACATCTGAGAAACAAACTTCAGCACAGTTTAAGGGCAGAAAGTCAATGTACAGGCTGGGTGTGGTGTCTCAGCCTGAAATCTAGCACTTTGGGAGGGCGAAGCGGGTGGATCACCTGAGGTCTGGAGTTCGAGACCAGCCTGGCCAACATGGCGAAACCCTGTCTCTACTAGAAACACAAATATAGCCGGACGGGGTGGTACGCAACTGTAGTCCCAGCTGCTTGGGAGGCTGAGTCAGGAGAACCGCTTGAACCTGGGAGGCAGAGGTTGCAGTGAGCGGAGATCACGCCATTGCACCTCAGCTTGGGCAACAACAGTGAAACTGCGTCTCAAAAAAAAAGCCAAAACAAATTTAATTAATGAGGAAAAGGGTATTTGTGGTGTCCATCATGATGTTTTCATATAGGTACACATTGTGGAATGGATGAAACAACCTCTTTATCTATTTATTTTTTCACATACTTGTATGTTTTGTGTGTGTGGTGAGAACATGTAAAATCTAATCTCTTAGTAATGTTCAGTACACCATATGTTGCTATTAAATGGAGTCACCAAGACATACAATAGATCTCTTGAACCGATTTCTTCTAACTGAAATTTTGCATCCTTTGACCAACATCTCTTCAATCTCTCTCCTTCCCAGGTTCTTTCGACGACCATTTTACTGTTCCTCTAGGTTCCACTTCTTACACTCCACACATGAGATCATGTGGCATTTGTCTTTCTGTGCCTGGATTGTTTCCCTTAACATAATGTCCTCTAAGTTTTTTCACATTGTCACAAATGAGAGGACTTCCTTCTTTGTTGTAAAGGTTGTATAGTACTTCATTACGTTCCTATCGTATACCACGTTTTCTTTGTCCATGCACCCATAGATGGGCAGTAAGGGTGATTCCACATCTTGGCTGTTATGAATAATGCGGCTGTAAACATGGGAATGCAGATATCTCTTCAACATACTGATTCCACTTCCTTTGGATACATGCGCAGTAGTTGGATTGCAGACACATATGGGAATTCTATGTTTAATTTTTTCAGGAACTTCCAGACTGTTTTCCATAATGGTTGTGCTAATTTACATTCCCATCAACTGCATACAAATGTTCCCTTTTCTCCACATCCTCGTTAACCCTTGTTATTTTTTATGTTTTTGATAATGGTCTTTTTTTTTTTTTTTTTGAGACTCAGTCTTGCTCTGTCACCCAGGCTGGAGTGCAGTGGCACAATCTCGGTGTACTGCAACCTCTGCCTCCTGGGTTCAAGCGATTCCCCTGCCTCAGTCTCCAGAGTAGCTGGGACTACAAGTGTGCGCCACCAAACTCTGCTAATTTTTGTATTTTTAGTAGGGATGGGATTTCACCATATTGGCCAGGCTGGTTTCGAACTGCTGACCTCAGGTAATCTCCCTGCCTCGGCCTCCCAAAGTGCCTGAATTACAGGCATGAGCCACCATGCCCAGACTGTTAATGGTCATTCTAAGAGGTGTGAGGTGATATCTCATTCTAGTTTTAATTTTTATTTAGCTGATGTTTAGTAATGCTAATCATTTTTTCATATACCTTTTGGTGATTTGTCTTATTCTTAGAAATGTTTATTCAGATACTTTGCCCATTTTTTTAAGTTGGGTTATTTGATTTCTTACCATTGAGTTGTTTGAGTTTCTTATATATTTTGGATATTAATTCCTTATTAGATGTATGGGTGCAAATATATTCTCCCATTCCATAGGTTGTCTTTCCACTTGTTGAGTTTTTTTTTTTCTTTGCAGAAACTTTCAATTTGATATAATGTTATTTGTCTACTTTTGCTTTTGTTGCCTGGGCCTTTGGGTTAATATCCAAAATGGTTTTGCCCAAGCCAGTGGAGTTTTCCCTTGATTTCTTTTAGTAGTTTTTTTTTTTTTTTAAGATGGAGTCTCACTCTGTTGCCCCGGCTGGAGTGCAGTGGTGCGATCTCGGCTCACTGCAACCTCTACCTCCTGGGTTCAAGTGATTCTCCTGTCTCAACCTCCCGAGTAGCTGAGATTACAGGCACCCACAACCACACCCAGCTGTTTTTGTATTTTTAGTAGAGGCGGGATTTCACCATGTTGGCCATGCTGGTCTTGGAATCCTGACCTTAGGTGATCTGCCCGCCTTGGCCTCCCAAATTGCTGGGATGATAGTCTTTCATCTTACATTTAAGTCATTAATCTATCTTGAGTTGACTTTGTATGTTTTGTGAGGCAAATGTCCACTTCCATTCTTCTGCATGTCTCCCAATCCCATTTATTAAAGAGACTGTTCCTTCTCCATTGTGTGTTCTTGATACATCCCAAAAATTGTTTGACCCTAAATGCGTGCATTTTTTTTCCTGGGCTATGAATCACTTCCATTGGTCTATGTGTCTGTTTTTATGCAAGTACTGTGTTGTTTTAATTACTGTAACTTTGTAATGTAGTTTGTGTTTAGGTAATGTGATTCTTCCAACTTTGTTCCTTTCCCTCTAGATGGCTTTGGTTATTTGAGATCTTTTGTGGTTCCACATGAATTTTAGGACTGTTTTTTCTATTTCTGTAAAAAAAATGTCATTGGATTTTTGATAATGGTTGCATTGAATCACTTTGGATAGAATGGACATTTTAACAACATTAATCCTTCTGATCCGTGAACATGGAATATCTTTCGATTTATTTGTTTATTTCTTGAGTTTTTTCATCAATGTTTTATAGCTTTTGCATACAGATCTTTCTACTCCTTGGGTGAATTTATTCCTGCATGTTTTGTTTTCTGTAGTTATTGCAAATGGGCTTATTTTCTTGTAAACTTTTTTGGATAGTTTGTTGTTAATGTATAGAAACTTTGTTGTTGTTGTTGTTGTTGTTTTGATGATACCCATCCTAAGGGGTATGAAATGGCATCTGGTGTAGTTTTAGTTAGTATTTCCCTAATGATTCGTGATGCTGAATATCTTTTCATGCGTATGTTCTTTGGAGAAATGTCTGTTTCAGTACTTTGCCCATTTTTGAATTGAGTTTATTGTGATTGAGTTTTAGGAGTTGTCTGTATATTCTGGATGTTAATCCCTTACAGGTGGTGTGGTTTGAAAACATTTTCTCCCATTCTGTGGGTTGTCTTTTTACTTTGATAATATCGTCTTAAAAGTTCTTTTTCCTTGCCATGTGAAGTAACTGATGTTGTCTTTTGAGTCACAATATTTCAAAATTTTCATAAAGTCTAACTTGTTTATTTTTTCTGTAGTAGCCTGTGCCGTTGTTGTCACATCTAAAGAATCACTGCCAAATCCGATGTTGTGAAGTTTTCCTTTGTGTTTTCTTCTAAGACTTTAATTAAATTTTATTTGTCAATATTTAGGACTGACAAAAGCTTTTTAACATTCCTGGCACCATCTCAGTTATTGATCTACTCCCAAGATGGATCATTTCAATTAAAACATGTAAAGCATGACCTCACCTGAATGTGTTTGAACTTGCTCTTCTCCCTTTCAAATCGACTCCCTCACTTACATAGTTTGTGTTCAAATGTCAACAAATAAAACATAAAAAGAAATCAATCTTTTCATAGACCCTTTATCTAAAATAGAATAGTAGGTGCCATGACATTTCATCCTTTCATCTTGAATTATTTACTTTTCTACATGAACCAATCCATTCTTCTGTGTGCATGTGTGTGTGTGTGTGTGTGTGTGTAGTTTATCTGTCTACATATAATGTAAACACCAAAAAATAACAGACATTTAGTAATTTTCAAATGAGACTTCAGGAATTAACAATGGCTTGCCATTTTTAGTGTGTTATTATTATTATATTTAGATGAACAGAATTGCCTCAGGAACATGGCCAGGGGCTCATAGTCCAGGAGAACTGTGGCCTGACTCAGGTACATTTTACCTGCAATAACAGCAATTGCAGGTCACTGGAGTCCATCACAATTGGCTGGAGACAAATGTAAGACAAGAATATTTGCAGTTTCCCCAGACTGACACAGTTGCAGGTTCCCCGAAGTAATGAGTCCTGAGACACCTCCAACAAGAGCTAGAAAAGGTATCACTTCAAGAGGAGTTGCAGCCTACTCATTTTAGACAAATGGAGCAAAATTACAGTATCACATCTTTTCCTTTCTCCTTCATAGAATCTGGATGAACAGAACAGAAAGAGTTAATGGAATATAAGATTCCAATTCTCTGGCATGAGAAAATAGACAAGGAAAGGAAGATTCATCTTCATCACATCTCAGACATGCTTGGACACAGGGTCCAAGCACAAAAGAGAAACACATACTTCTTCCCATCCACACTGGGATCCAGGGTCTTCTCCCTCCTGTCAGGCCAGAACTGAGTCTCCACTCCCCAATTTAGTTCCCAGAGATGAAGCCCAATTTTCCTCTGTCTCAAGCTTTGAAGGCCAGCTTTAGCGTGTTCACCATGGATGAATGAAGGTGAGGTCAGAGGTTTGGGAAATGGTCAAGAATGAGGTGAGAAGAGAGCTGTGGAGGCATGGCCCCGGGGAGCTTGGTACCCCCCCATATCCAGAGCCTGTCTGGTCCAGGAGAGTTCCCAACCCTGTGAGCACCAACTCCGGATATTCTGGGCAGTGACCCGAGGGACAGCCTCTTATGAATACAGGCTGTTTTCCTCCAGTGTCTGCTGTGAAACCAGGATGTACAACATGGCCGTGTTCAACCCAACAATGGACTTAGGATTTTGCTGTACGCCAAAACTCAGTGTCCAACTTCCACTCTGTTTAGCTGGAAAAAGAAGGGGTTTGTTCCCATACATCTCACTCCTGTGTTCCTCTTTCAGTCTCAAAGCTCAGATGAAAACAATGAGTGTCACTTATTGTCAATCCTCTTCCCTGCCTTTTCCACACTCATCAGTATTACCGTTTACATTGAGACTAAAGATGGCCAATCACCACTTTTCTTCGGAAAAATCAACCTGATGTTGTACCTACTTTTTTAGAGGTGGAATCAACCTACCCTAAGATGCCAACTACATTTTACTGAATGGACTTTTGTGGATCCCCTCGATGTATATAGTGGCACCTTGAGGTATCATCCCTGTCTTTAGCAAATGAATATTATCCCAAGGACAATATTTCATCACAATTATTCGGGATGGACGAGTGGATATTGTGGTAGCAAGAACATTACTAAAAGTCACAGCTGATACAACACACTTGAAACCCATCTGGCCAATCTCCCACAGACAGAATGTCGCGCCATTCACTCCAGCCAGCTTCAGTCATGTTTCTTCCATTTCCACCTGTGGCCCCTCATGTCTCCACCAGGTCTTAGCCAGCATTGCCAAAAGAGCCAGGAAGACCAGACCAGCCACAACAATCCTGATGGAACTCTCCACAGTATAGTTCTGGAGAACAGGGGCTGGAGGGTGGGGGTAAGATCAGAGACCTTTCCATGTGGGCCAGGCCCCTCTCTCCCCAGAAGCTCTGAAATGGAGCTATTTCCCCATCTCACCTTCATAAAATTCTTCCTGTCCAGAACCCCTCTTCTCCCTATATCATCATGAGCACCTTCAGAAGTCTTTTGCCACAAAAAGAAATTTCTTTTGAAGATATACATTTTTTTGTACATTTCAAAAATGTTCCCAAACTAATTCTCCAAAGCAATAAATGTTTGTGTGTATTGCTGGGTAGGTTATGCATACAAGGAAAGGAAGCATAGTGAGTCTGATTTGGCAGAGGAAACATATGTGGAAATTATATCATTTACTCTCTTTACAAAATTAAGTACAAAATTGAAAACACTGGTAAGAAAGAATGAGCTATAGAGAAAGAAAACATCTGAGATGCTTGTTTCCAAGATGGCTGACTAAATGCTTTTCTGGCATGTCTCATCCACTTAGAAGAACGAGCAGAATCCAGAACAAAAACCATATGATCATCTCAATAGACATAAAGAAAAGCATCTGAAAAGAAATTCAACATCCTTACCTGATGAAAACCCTCAAAAACTTAGGCATAGAAAGAACATACCTCAAAATAATAAAAGCCATAGATGACATATCTAGAGTCAACATCATACTGAACAGGAAAAGTTAAAAGCACTCCTCTGAGAACTGGCACAAGACAAGGACACGGACATCCACCACTTCCTATCAACATAGTACTGGAAGCCTTGTCAGAGCTATTGGGCAACAGGAAGAAGTAAAAATCCAAATTAGAAAAGAGGAAGTAAAATTATTTTTATTTCTGATGCTATGATCTTAAATCTAGAAAATCCTAAAGACCCTGCCAAAAATTCTTATGATTGATAAATGAACTAAGTAAAGTTTCAGAATACAAAATCAATATGTAAAAGCCGGTAGCATTTCTCTACACCTATAATGATCTAGCTGAGAACCAAATCAAGAAGGCAATGCCGTTTACAATAGATACGCAAAATTAAAACACTCAGGAATACATTTAACCAAGGTGGTGAAAGATCTGTACCAGGAAAGGTGTAAGACACCAATGAAAGCAATTATAGATAATACAAAAAAAAAAAAAGAAAAAAAATCCCACGCTCATGGATCATAAGAATTAATATTGTTAAAATGACCATACTGCCTAAAGCAATCTACAGATTCAGTGCAATTCTTATATGAAAATAGTAACACCAGTTTTCACAGAATTAGAAAAAGCAATCCTAAAATTCATACAGAACCAAAAAAGATCCTAATAGAGAAAGCAATTCTAGGTGAATGTAGAAACCTGGAGGCATCATGCTATCTGACTTCAAACTATGCTCTAAGGCTATAGTAACTTAAATAGCACAGTGCTGGTATAGACACAGAAACAGAGATCAATAGACCAGAATAGAGAGCCCAGAAATACAGCCTCATATCTACAGTGAATAATCATTGACGACGTTAACAAAACATACACTGGAGAAAGATTTCCTTTTCAATAAAAGGTGCTGGGAAAACTAAATAGCCATATGCAGAAGAATAAAACTGGACCTGTATCTGTAATCATACACATAAATTAACTTAAGGTAATTAGCAGCTTAAATGTAAATCCAGAACTATAAAATCACCGGTGGAAACCCAAAGAGAAACTCTTCTGGGCATTGGTCTGGGCAAAGAATTCATCACTAAGACCTCAAAAGCACAGGCAATAAAAATAAAACTAGACCAATGGGACTTAATAAACGAAAGAGCTTCTGCCAAGCAAAGGAAATAGTAGCAGGGTGAACAGACAACCCACAGAATGAATGGAAATGTTTGCAAACTATGCACCCAACAGAGGACTAACATCCAGAATTTCTAGGCAACTCAAACAACTAAACATAACCCCTCAAATAATAGCATTAAAAAGTGGGCAAAGGGATATACATAGACATTTTTCAAAAGAAGACATACGAATGGCCAAACAGCGTATGAACATCACTAATCATCAGAGAAATGCAAATTGAAACCACAATGAGATATCATCTTACAGTAGTCAGAATGGCTATTACTAAAAATGCTGGTGGGGAGTGGTGGCTCACGCTTGTAATCCCAGCACTTTGGGAAGCTGAGGCGGGTGGATCATGAGGTCAGGAGTTTGAGACCAGCCTGACCAACATAGTGAAACCCCATCTCTACTAAATATACAAAAGATTAGCTGGGCATGGTGGTGTGGTTCTGTAATCCCAGCTACTCAGGAGGCTGAGGCAGGAGAATCATTTGAACCTGGTTGGTGGAGGTTGCAGCGTGTGGAGATGGCGGCACTGCACTCCAGCCTGGGTGACAGTGGAAGACTCCATCTCAAAAAGAAAAAAAGAAAAAGTGAAACATATAACAGGTGTTGGCAAGGATGCAGAGAAAAGGAAACTCTTATACACTGTTGGCCGGTATGTAAATTAGTATAGCCTCTATGGAAGACAGTATGGAAATTTGGCAGAGAACCAAAAATAGAAGCACCATTCGATCTAGGGGTCCCGCTGCTGGGTATCTACTCAAAAAATACCTGCACCTGTATGTTTATTGCAGCACTGTTTGCAATAGCAAAGATATGAAATCAATCTAAGTGTCTGTGAATGAATGATTGGATTAAAAAAAGGATGCGTGTATACACAACGAAATACTATTTGGTCATAAAAATAAAACCATGTCTTTTGCAGCAACATAGATGGAGCTGGACGCCATTATTTTACATAAAACCACTCAGAAAGACAAATACCACATCTTCTCACTCTACATGGGAGGGGAGTAATGTGTACATATGGACGTAGAGTGTGGAATGACGGACAGCGGAGGCTAGAAGGCTGGAGGGTGGCGGGACGTGGGTGAGTGATGAGAATTTGCTTAATGAGTACAATGTACGGTATTTGGGTGATGGATATAGTAAAAGTCCTGACTTCACTACTCTGCAACATACTCATGTCACAAAATTACAAGTGTACCTCATAAATTTATACTAATAGAAAAGAAAGTCTGTACACAGTAATCAATTGTGATATGTAGATAAAGTCAATATTAAATTTAAACCAGAATAACTAGTTAAAATGTTGTGTACACAACAGTGAAGAGAGTATTTATCCTCTATGACAGAGGAAACCATCAATATTAATGCACAGAAAAAGCAAATAACTGAAACAAGAAAGAGCAGTTTTGTGACAGGGTAAAAATTGACAACAGTTTTAGAATGCTCCTAACTTGAGTTCCAAAAAGAAAGAACGAGAAAACAGGTCAGAAGCAATCTTTAAAGAGGCAATTGTTGATTATTTGGAGGAAGTAGACACATCCATCAATCCACAGGTTCAAGAAATCCAGTGAATGCCAGGCAGAATGAAGTAAACACACCTCACGTTCAACATTACAGAAAAGCAGCATAAAAGCACAACCAACCCTTAAAATTAGCCAGAGGAAAAGGATCAGCTGGTAAGGATTTATAGGGAGCCAAGCATTGTCTTCCCCACAGAAAAAAGGAAAACATAAGCCAGTAGAATAGCATCTTTACCCAGCTAAGATACCGTCGCCAGCCACCGACAATTCCTTACATAGTACAGTTACTGTCCAAGATCAACGCAGGAAAGAAACAGAACTGAAAGACAAAAGGGCAAAGAAAGCTTTTCTCACTGACCCTAAAGGAAATTCTGATGACCGTGCCTCAAAGATAAAGAAAGTGAAACCAGATGGGGTGTCGAAGATTCTGACAATAACTAAGAGCAGAGGAAGAACTAAAAATATGGCTATGCCAAAAATGAATATGGACCATACGATAGTGTATGAAAACACGCCCCTGTGTAATTTCTGAAAAAGATAGAATTATGTATACCACAAAACAAAACATCATATAAGTAAATACAAACATATGTACTAAATATGCTCTAAAATCCTGTTCTTACACAGGAAGAGTGGAAATATGTTTTTATATTTGCAGTTTAATCTCTGAAATGATTAATTTCAATTTTAAAAATATGTAACAACTTCAGGATGAGTACACCATATATGTATTCCTAAACGACATAGATCAAAAATAGAATGTTTGAAATAGAAAACCACAGAAGTCAGTGGGAAAAAAAGGGAATCAGGAAAACACAACGTAATAATAACAAAAATATGATTGGAAGAACTGCTCAAACATGAACAAAAGATTGTCAGAAAGTCTTACTTTCTAAGGCGAATTGTTTGAAATTTACAAAGGACACATCTCAATGTTAACAATTCATGGAGTTTGAAATTAAACAATGTAGAAATATACCAAGCAATCACTGTTAGAAATGTGGTATAACTATATTAAAATTAGACAAAATTAGTCTTTGGGAAAAATCAGCGGAAAACATTAAGCATAAAATGTAGGAAAAAAGCAGGTAAATTTATAGCATTTTAAATTTACCAGGAATATATAATCAGTTTACACTTAACCACTCCCAGTAATATTCCTGCAAATATACATGGAGGAAGAGTCGCGGAAATAAATGGACAGGTAGGCAAATCCACGGCCACAGTGGGGTGTTTAACACTCCTCTTTTCTCAGTTGTTGATAGAAGTGGTTCAGGCAATTAGAGAGGATTTAGAAAGATAATTGCTGGACCTGACCCAAGGTATAAGTCCACTCCCAACCACAGGACTCACTTTCCTTACAAGCACAAGGGCATTTAGAAATCTCTCTGGATTCTGACCAGCCCTCACCATATGGCAGGTCCATGGACTTCTTGGAACACACCAAGCTCATTCTCACATTAGGGTCATCCCCAATGTCCTAAGTCCATGAAAGTTCCTTTCAACACACTCCCCAGGGCTCACTCCCTCTTGTCTCTAAGATCGGAGTTTAAATGTGATCTCTCTGATGAGGTCTCAGTGAGACGTTCCCTCCTGTACACTCCAAATGACAACGTTCCACGTTCATTCATTTCATTCTGTGCATGGCACTTTCACCAAGTGCTAAGGATTCACTCACTAATTCATACATTCATTCATTCATTCATTCACTCATTCCATCATTCACTCATTCATTCATTCTCTCATTCATTCATTCATGTTCTGCCTCTCTCTCCCACCCCACAGCAATGTGAGCATCATGAACCCAGGAGCTTGGCCGTGCTGTCTACTCCTGGCCGTGAAACAGAGAGAACTGATGGTAGGTGTGAAATAAATATTAGATGAATGAGTTAGTGAAGGGGTCATTTACTGGGTGAGCTCAGTTCTCTCTACTCTAATGCCCTCCCTCGGCTGACTTCCCTGAGTTGCCCCCTCGGCTGAGTGAAGTCCCTTCACTGGCAAATGGAACCTCAACCAGTAGCACCTAGGTGGTCTCATACTTTGTTCTTTCCCTCTCCTCTTGCTCCCTAAGGATTATCAATCTCCATGACAGGGCTGGAGAGCAGACAAGCCACACATTCTTTCTGGGGAGAGAGTAACATGGAGTACAAGGCATTCCACATTTAGGAAGAGAACTCAGTTATGGAAGGTCAGAAATGAAAAGTTCCTACAGACCAACACCCAGGTTGGTGGCCACAGCCCTAAATGCTGATGGAGAATCACTGCAAGTCTGTAGGGAAGATGTCTGGCTTGAGGCCACTGAGCGAAGTGGCAGATCCTTCTCAGCCTTCAGTGCTGAGCCTCTGTCCCCTCAGGGATCCACTGACCAATGAGAAGAGCCTCTTCTCATCTCCTGGGATGGAGCTTGGGGCCCCTGGCGAAGGAATGGGCCTGTTTCCACCTGTCATGTTGTCATCTAGCTTGGAAATCCTGCGAGTCCCAGGGAGGCCCTCCCCGAGTCCCCAGAGAAGACTCCCCCACTGAGTCTCCAAGGTGTGGAGAGAGCAAAAAACATCTAGGGTGGAAAATGCCTCCCATCAAGAGACATTGGGGCTCCCCCAACGATGGTTGCATCTGTGCCCCCCATGTGGAAATCACTCTTTGGTGAGAGGTGGGGGCTTCTGGAAATGGGCAATGGCGGGCGGCCAATGCTACCTCTAGTCTTTCCAATCTGAGCCCGGCCTTTCATGCTCCTGAGTCAGCATTGATGCTGTTTACATGTGTCCCAGGTGGGCTTCTGTACAAAGACTGGGAAGTGGTTTATGTGGCCTGTGCTCTATCTGCAAGCTTCAGGTAGGGTTGCAGTTACCACCCCAAACCCTAATGTGATCTGTCTGCCTCGCTCTGTCTGTCTGTCTATGCCTCTTTCTGTATGTTTGCTTTGTGTCTCTTCTGTCCAGCATCTCTGGCTGACACCCCCATGGCCACCCCCTCCATCTGAGGCTCCCCTGAATGTGGCCATTGTAGTCCATCTGAGTCCCACTATTTGGGGAACAGACTGGTTTCCTCACCTGTGACAGAAACAAGCAGTGGGTCACTAAGGTCTGACCACTCGTAGGGAGAGTCACGGAAAGAGCCGAAGCATCTGTAGGTCCCTCCGTGGGTGGCAGGGCCCAGAGGAAAGTTGGCCTGGAAGGTTCCATTGACCTTGGGCACTGCAGGGAACCTAAGTTCATGAGCCTCCCCCTCCCTTGATAGATGGTAGATGTCATAGGAGCTCCGGGAGCTGCAGGACAAGGTCACGCTCTCTCCTGCCTTAACCATGGGGCGCGGCTGGGCTGAGAGAGAAGGTTTCCCACATAGACCTGGAAGGAGAAGAGGCAGTTTCCTCAGGGAGGTTCTTCCTTGTCACAACTCCCCTCCCACCTGAGCTGAGAACTCACTCCCCTGCTCTATGGCCTAATGCTCTCTCTCTCTGTCTCACCCTCCACACCATCTCTCTTTATGTCTATTTCCTCTTTCCACCTTCTCTGTCTCTCTAGGTCTCTGACCTCACTTTCTCACCTCTAGATATGTTTTCCCTTTTTGGATTGTTTTATTCTCTCTGACTCTCCTTGGACTAGTTGACTTGATGTTACTTTTTTTAAATTCTGAGTTTCTCACTTTGTGTCCTGTTCATAACTTTCTGCATATTTCTATCTATTATCTATCAATATATCTATTTATCTATTTGGTGCCTATCTACAAATTCTCTACCTGTCATCTATATCTATATATAATCTATTTATCTATCAATTGTCTATCCAAAAATCATCTATTATCTATATCTATGTATCGTCTCTCTCTCTCTATGATTTCTCTTTGTCTGCCTCTCTATCTCTATGTATTATCTATCTATCTTCATCTTCATCATCTCTATGTATCATCGATTAATCAATGAATGAATCAATCATCATCTATGTATCTATAACCTATTATCTATCATCTACCTATTTATCATCTATCTATATCTATCCATCTATCATCTGTCTTGCTCTGCCTCTCGGTCTCTCTAGTTCTCTTTGGAATCTCTGCAATTCATCCCCACATCTCCATCTTTCTATGTCCTTGTGTCTCTCCCTCAGGACTCTAATTTTAGTGCTTTTCTCTGTTCCCTTCCATTGTTCTCTCCACTTCTCTGCCCTCTTTTCTCCCTCTTTATGTGTCTGTGAGTCTCTCAATCTCCTTCCTCTGGCTCATTCTCTGTGTGTTTATGTCTTTGCTTTTTGGTGTCCCTGATTTTTCTCTGTGTCTCTCAGTGATCCTCTCATATGTGGGGTTATTTGGAATGTGAGCCTCAGAATCCAGTCTGGGGACCGCAAGTTCACACAGTATACAGGGGTTGATGTTCTGGGGCCATGATATCCTGGGACGATTACTCTCCATTGCATGGAAGGCAGAGGTGTCAGAATAAACACGGCATCTGTAGGTGCCAGAAGGCCTGAGGCCACAGGGCCCAACTCAGGCCAGAAATATGGGTGTCCTTGGGTTCTTCTGGTAGAGAACACTTTGTGGAAGTAAAACAGAAATGAAACTTCTAACCTGTGCCAGGTCTCTGAGCAAAGTCAGCATGGAAGGACACCTCTCTCTGGCACATGTCTGTCTGTGTCTCCTTTAACTCTTTCTGTCTTTTCTAACTCCCTGTATGGCCCCTGTGTCTGTCCTCTGTTATGACACCTGGTCTGTACTTGTGTCTCCTGTTTCTCTGTCTCTGTTGGTACAGACCTCACCAAGTTAGTCTCTCTCCATAAGAATACCAAGCTCATCTTCCTTATAACCACCTGGGCCTCCAAGTCGTGGATCATTCACTCTGTGTCCCAGTGACAATGAGAATAATGTCCAGACACTCTCACCTGTAATCACGATGTCCAGAGGGTCACTGGGAGCTGACAACTGATAGGGGGAATGAGGAACAGAACCGTAGCATCTGTAGGTCCCTGCAAGGTCTTGCGTCATGCGACCGATGGAGAAGTTGGCCTTGGAGACCCCATCATGGAGCTCTCCAGTGAGGCGCAAAGTGTCATTAAACTTCCCCTCTCTGTGCAGAAGGAAGTGCTCAAACATGACATCTGACCAACATTGCAGGATGACTGTCTCTTCTGATTTCACCAGGGGACCTGGGTGGGCCAGGAGGGAAGGTTTTCTGTGGACTCCTAGGAAGAGAGGTTGTGACTTTAGAAGGCATCTCTCTTTATCATCCCATCCATGGCACCTAGAATGAGTGAGGCTTCCCCTCGCTGGTGTCTTATCTCTCTCCTTCCTCTCTGTGTCTTCATGTTCTTTTCTGTGCCCATAACTCCTGGTACAGGTCCTTCCATCTGTCTCCCTCCCTCTTCTCTGTCCCTCTGTCTCTAGTAGCTCCTGATTCCCTTGCCGCTGGGCTCAGCCTCATCTCTTGGGCTGTTGTATCTATTTCGAACTAATGTCTTTCCTGCTTCTATGTGGGGGTGGAAGAGGAACCAGGATAGGCTGCACGTCCAGGCTCTTAGCAGACTGGTTCAATCTCTTTTGGACGAATTGGAATCCTTGGCAGAAGGTATGAACTGATCAGTAAGGCAGGCACCAGTGTCCACACACCCTGTTCCTGGTGGGGACTGGGAGCCACTCTTGCCATGCCTGTGCCTTCTCCATGGTGCCAGCTTCCATAGGCTGGCTTCTGGTGCTGGTTTGAGGAGTATCAACCCCTCCCTATGTGGATGGAGCCTGGTGGTGGCATCATCATCCCACCCTTGCTGATCTCGGTGTAGCCAACCTTCTCTTTGTTTGGTTTCTTTAATTAATTAATTAATTTTGGAGTCAGAGTCTCACTCCTTCACCCAGGCTGTAGTGAAGTGGTGTGGTCTAGGCTCACTGCAACCTCTGTCTCCTGGGTTCAAGTGATTCTCCTGCCCTCAGCCTCCTGAGTTGCTAGGATTACATGCACCTGCCACCACGCCCGGCTATCCTTGTGTCCTTTCTTATCTTGTCCTTGACCTGGGTTCCAGTGTTGGTTTCCTGTTGGTGCTGTGGAAAATTATCAGAAGCATGGCAGCAGGAGAGAGCACACTGACCCCTTCCGTTTCTGGAGACAGAAATCGGACCCTGTTTTTTGAGGGCTAAAATCAAGGCATCTGCAGGGCTGCGTTCCCTCTGGAGACCCAGGAGAATCAGTTCCTTGACTTTTCCAGCCTCTATAGGCCACCTGCATTCATGGCTCATGGCCTTCCTCCACCTTCAAAGCTGATGGAGACTTCCATTGCACTGCTCTAATCGCCACTCCCCTCTTCCTTCTCCTCTCATGTGCACCCTTGTGATTACACTGAGCCCAGCAGGACAGTCCAGGCTGTCTCCCCATCTCAAGGTCAACTCAACAACCTGAGCTCCATCTTCCCCTTCAGTGCCTTCCCCTATAACATAAATAGTCACAGACTGCAGGGATTAGAATGCAGTCATCATTGGGGACAATTATTCTTTCCACCACAGCACCCATTTCCCTGTATTCAATCCCCTTTTACCCCAAATACAGTTAGGGTCTGGATGATGGGACGCTGGTGGACACTCCCACCAGAAGCTCTGGGACTCAGGAGGTGGGACAAGGAGAATCCCAGACAGGAGCCCTCTGACCTGTGACCATGATCACCAGGGGGTTGCTGGGTGCTGACCACCCAGTGAGGAAGTGTGGGTGTGAACCCCGACATCTGTAGGTCCCTGCATGTGCTGGGGTCACAGGGCCTATGAAAACGGTGTTTCGGAATACTCTGTTGTAGAGCTCAGGGACAGGCATCCCGTCTTCTTTGGACAGACTGAATTCGTTAAACCCAAGACGAGAGCGACACTGAAGAGCCACATGTTCTCCTTCAGACACCACAGGGCTGGGCCAGGCAGAGAGGAAGGGCTTGTCCTGACCACCTGGGGGAGAAGGAGGCGCCACCTTAGAGAGGAGGATGTGGCACTCCCTCCCTCTATTCCTTTCCAGGACTCACCAACACACGCCATGCTGACGACCATGAGCGACATGGTGCTGCCGGTGCAGACAGGCGGCCGCGCCCCAGCTCAGCTCAGCAGCGCACAGGATGTTATTTGGCGCCCTGCCCATGCAGCTTACATGTTGACTACATCATGGGAGGGTGACGTACGCAGGCTCTTTCTACCTTGCATGAGGCCCAGTGGATGCTTGCTCAAGAGCGGAACACGGCTTCCTGGAAATTGTTCTCACTAGAATTGGCACCTCACGTCCTTCACTATGACCAACTCACAACACGTCTCAGATCCAACCTCCCGAACACAAGATGCCTAAAATCTGTGCTAACGTGAAAGACTTTTCATGTATTTTTATCCGAACACGAGATGCCTAAAATCTGTGCTAACATGAAAGACTTTTCATGTATTTTTTTTGTTTTTATCTGAGATTCAAACTCTTCTTCCTGTGTAATATGCAAAGTATCTAATAGGTATTATTAATGTTTTCGGAGTCATTGTGACTAATAAACCATTAGAATTTTTCATGCTTGTATTTCTAGTATTACAGCAGAACCAGCTAAAATGATTTAAATTCCCAGGGAAGGATTATGCAATTATTTACAATCTTAGAATTGTACTTTATCAGCAAAAACCACACCTGTAAATTCTGGAGTTTTGTAGTTTAATCTAAAATTTGTCTCATGACCCAAGATTCCAGAGTCCCAACTCTGGAGTTTGCTCTCTGTCTGTCTCTCTCCCTCCCTCGTTTTAAATTTTACAGAAATATCCAGTAACATAATGCTATAGAAAATCAAGTTTTCCCCAGCACGTTGGGAAGCCGAGGTGGGCGGATCAACTGAGATAAGGAGTTTGAGAGCAGCCTGGCCAATATAGTGAAACCGTGTCTCTGTTAAAAATCCAAAAATTAGCCGTGCCTGGTGGCAGGCACCTGTAACGCCAGCTACTCAAGAGGCTGAGGCACGAGAATCGCTTGAACCTGGGAGGCGGAGGTTGCAGTGAGCTGAGATTGTGCCACTGCAGTCCAGCCTGGGCGACAGAGCAAGACTCCGCCTCAAGAAAAAAAAAGCAAACAGCCTATAATAACAAATTAGAGGGCTCTGGCTACTAAATTTAAAGGGTTCTATAAGGCTACATAAAGTGCAGCATCATCAAGAGTGTGGACACAGAGAGCCCCTTAGCAGAAACAGTGTCTAAAATACATCCATGTACACACAGTCCCTTTAGAGTTGACAAAGGCTGCCGTGTGGTTTAAGGTGGCATAGAATGTCTTCTCAATAAATAATATTAAACCAATTGGTTACACCTAGGAAAAAATAAATCTAACTCACACTATAAAAACACTTCTTAGTTTTTATCTAGTTGTACATTTTTTATGATTTATATTTAAATTTGAGAAATAAAAGTCATATACGGTCATCCTTCACTATTCGTGGGTGATTGGTTTTGAGATCTCCACTCAGATACCAAAATCTGTAGATGCTCAAGCCTCTTATATGAAATGGCACAGCGTTTGCAAATAACCTATGCACATCCTCCTGTATACATGAAATCATCTCTAGATTACTTATAATTCCTGATACAGCCTACACACAGCTTCATTTGTGTCCATTCAACATAGTTATGCTTTTTGAAACTCTGTGGATACTTTCTCTCAATATTTTTGATTTATACTTGGTTCAATAAACACCTGTAAACCCCGCAGATATGGAGGAGTGACCGTATATTTATATTATGAAAGATGATGTGTTGATATGTGTCCCCATGGAGATGAGACTAACAAGGCCTATGATTCTACAAATGTTTCATTGTGGAATGACTCTGCCAGCTTTCCAGGTCTGCAGAGAGTAAGAGTATCACTTGTTCATATGATTCGTGATCCTTGGAACCTCCTATGTGCTACATCTTTGGATGGAAATTGGAGTCCCAGAGACAAATGAGGCTCCACCCTGCTTCCAGAAACTCAGAGTCCGGGGATGAGAACTCAGTGGGGAACAGATGGGATTATATGGACATGGTACTGATAACACCGGAAGCCTTAGGCAAGAAAAGAGTCCCATTACCGAAACCATGGGGGCAGACATGTTTATTTGAAGGATGGAAAACTACATTGAAGTTATTTTAAAAAATATATAAGTTTTACTGCTGACAGAAGACTGAAAGCTAGTCTGAGGGGAGGTGGAACAGCATGAGGGAAGGTGGAACAACACGTGTCTAAGTGCTGCGTTAAGAGGGAGCCTCTTGTATGTTTGGAATTGTGAGTTCCTCAGTGTGATTGCAGCCTCAAGTAGACTAGGAAGTAAGCCAGTTAGGTTGGAGAGGTGGGCAGGGGTCAAGTGAAATGGAGAACTGTGGGTTAAGCAAAGGAGTGTGTTTTTTCTCCAGCAGGCAGTGGGGACCTTAGACATTTGTAAGCAAGTGAGAGGCACATTCAGATTTGTGGTGTGAGGAAGATCGATGCCCTAAGATGCAGACTCACGCCTTCAGATTCCAGCTGCTGGTACATGGGAGCTGGCAACCCGGTTTTGAGACAGGGCTGTTGTCTCCCTAGAAGACGCCCTCAAGGCCTGACTGTGGTGCTCATGGGCAGGAGACAACTTTGGATCTGGACTCAGCATTTGGAAGTTCCGTGTACACGATGATATCTGTTGGGGGTGTCTTGGGCCTCTGAGAAGGGCGAGTGATTTTTCTCTGTGTGAAAACGCAGTGATTCAACTGTGTGTATGTCACCTCCTGAGGGTCTTGTTCATCAGAGTCCTGGAGAGAGGGAAATGCTGAGTGAGGGAGGGTGCTCACATTTTCCAGGACTCTTTGGGAATAACAGTAGCCACGAGCCCGGGCCGAGGAGTACCTACCTCGCTATTCGCTGTTCTGTTTCCTGCAGACTCTTGGTCCATTACCGCAGCATCTGTAGAAGATGGAAGTCAACAAAACAGCTCGGAGGGCACTTCTGGGTCCTCATTTCATAAGCAGATACCAACATACAGGGGGAGACCATAGGTGGCTGAGGTCCCTCAGTTGCCAACAGCAGACTCAGACATTCTATCTCTCTGAGCTCAAGGACCCATCCCATGAATAGCTCTGAGTTCCCATCCCATTGATTCTGTCTCCCACTTTCTGCCTGTCATGGAACCTTCTCCTGGATGTGAGTGGCTGCAGGGGACATGGGGATACAGTTCAGAATCAGGCAACGGTCTGTGAGTTGAAGGCAGGGACAGGGAGTCTGGTGCCCTCTCTAGAAAGTCCTGCCTCTGTGGCTGCTGCCTTGGGCCAGGGACCATCCTGTTTGTGAGGAACACACACCTGAGTGCTCCCATCCTGCTTCCCCACATGGCCCTGAGCTCTCTGGCCTCTGCTTCGTGAGACTTACTTTTTTTGTTGGAGCACCAGCGATGAAGGAGAAAGAAGAGGAGGATGAAGAGGATGATGACCACTGAGGTCCCAATCAGAATGTGCAGGTGTCGGGGGTTACCTGGAAGAAGATGAGACACCAATAAGAAGCTAATCTTAGCAGTTCCTCTTTATGAATTGTCTCGCATTTCTTGATTGACAGGTAACCACATAAAACACCTCTTTAGGACAAGCACCCAGATGGCAGGAGACCCAGCTTTCTCCTGCTTTTTCAGTTATAGCTCTCATAGTAACCATAGAACGTGCTGAGGATACGACTACTTTAGTTGAGATGTTTGACCCCTTCAAACCTCACATTGAAATTTCACCCCCACTGTGGGAGGTTGGGCCTCTTGAGAGGTGTTTGGGTCATGGAGGTGGATCCATCATGAACACATCAATGCTGTCCCAAGGAGACGGGGTTAGCAAGTTCCCCCTCTATTAGTTCCCGGAGAGCTGGTTGTTAAAAAGAGCTTGGAAGCTCCATCACTCCCCCTCCCCCTTGCTCCCTCTCTTGCCGTGTGATCTCTGTGGTCTCTGCACAGACAGACCCTCCTTCCCTTCTGCCAGAGTGGGAGCAGCCTGAGGCCGTCACGAGAAATAGATGCTGGTGCCATGCTTCCAGTACAGCCTGCAGAACGGTGAGGCAAACCAATCTCTTTTCTTTAGAAGTTACCGAGGCTCAAGTGTTCCTTTAGAGCAACAAAAATGGCCTAAGACAGCAACTTCCTGAGATCAGGAGGAACGTCTCAGAACACCCTGGGCTGTCTTCCTGTTCTTCCTGGAGGACGTCATGCAGTGCTTTAGCTGAGTGCTTCCTGTGGCTCCAGGGTACAAAACCCAGGCTGGGCTGCTTTCTGGCTTCCCGCAGCTACACTGCAAATGGGGTGACTCCATATGTCCCGAGGAGCTTTTCTGAGCCTTGAGGGACTGGGTCACATTGAAATATAGGTTTCTGTTGTCACTCGCTGCTTATCTGTTAGTAATGAACCTGCCTATGTAACGTATTCTCTGTGTGTTCTGTCTCCCTGGAGTGACGGTGAGTGATAGGAATTGGCATAGGCCCAGGTGCAGTCCAGGAGGTGTTTAGAGTCTTCTCTGGGAAGACTGGACTGGGATTGATTCACAGCGAATGTGCTTTAGGGTTTCTACATCCACAGCATTCTTGAATCAAACAACTTGCATTCTCCAAGGAAAGAAAACAAAAGTGAAATCAAGATAAAAAAAGCGAAATAGAATTCTCTTATGTCAAACGGCCAGGAAATAGTGTTGAAGCCCGTGTGAAACCTGCTGCTCTTTGTGATCTCGGGAGACACATATTAGGCTGCTGTTCTACCCGAGAGGCTGGGGGAAGGACCACCCCCTCGGCCATCTATTGCTTCAAAACCACCTGTCCTCCTGTGAATTAGTAGGAAAGGGGAGCAGGAGCTAGTGCTGTCGCTGATCTCTGATTCCAAGATCTGGACTCACTCCAAGGAGTGTTAATGTTTACCTCCCCATGGTCTATCTGAATCTCCACAGGTGATTGGAAGTAGGGGTGAGGTGGGGGATTTGGGTGAGTGGGCAAGTTTTTTTTGTGATGACCAGAGCACTTTCTCTATTCCAGGATCTGTGCTGGAGGATTCAGCGGGCTTTCACATTTTCTATATGATCTCATGCTCACAGAAAGCCAAATAGGGAAGAGGTTTTAGGCTCATTGCCTAATGGATAAGATAAAGGATCAAAGAAGTAATTATAGAGAAATAGAAAAACGATGATTGGAATTCAGGTGCCTTTGTCATTCGTGTGTGTTTTATTATATTTATGTATTTCTTATTTTTATTTTTTGAGATAGAGTCTCCTTGTGTCCCCCAGGCTGGAGTGCAGTGATGCAATCTCCACTCACTGCAACCTCCACCTACTGGGTTGAAGTCATTCTCCTGCTTCATCCTCCAGAATAGGAGCTGGGATTACAGGGATGCACCATCGTGCTCGGCTAATTTTTGTATTTTTAGTAGAGATAGGGTTTCACCACGTTGGCCAGGCTGGTCTGGAACTCCTGACTTCATGGAATCCACCCACCTTGGCCTCCTGCAGTGCTAGGTTACAGGCGTGAGCCACTGTTCACAGACTTGTATATTATGCTATAATAAGTCTCTTCATTTCCACCACCACTCATATATCTGTCACTCCTTTGCCAGGTATTGATTTATGTGTAGGATGAATAAATCTCAGAAAGAAATTAATTAAGCGAGGATTAAACAAGTAGGAAAATCAAACCCAGTAAGCCTTTCCAGTCAATGATTCTACCTCACAAACATATCTTATATCCATCTACTTCATTCATTTAGTGTCTAAATCAGCACCACATTTCACCAGTGGGGCGGCAATTGCCTTTTCCACGGTCTCCTAGATTCCAGTTATGCACCTGGGCCTCCCTTATTTTCATGTCAGTCATATTAATCATGTAGGGATTCCTGGTTACCCCGAGGTGAATCCAATGGCTGTGAGTGTCAAACACACACTCCTTGTTGCTCCTTAGTTTCCTGTGTACCCAGTGTGCTCTCCGTCTCTCTACAGTCGTCTTGTCATTCTCCCCACCTCATTCCCAGCATTTGAGTCAGAGCCTCTTCCTTCCACATCAGATTGTTTTCACCTTTGTGCCTTCATGGCTGACAGCTGTGTGTGCAAAATCCTTCCGCCAATCTTTCAGGGGTTCATTCCGTGTTTTTCATTAATGTCACAAATATCTGAATAGTGAGACCTTCTTTGTCACCTGAAATCATACACTCAGCATTATCTATTATTGATTTTGAATTCTGGCTGGGCACAGTGGCTCACGCCTGTAGTCCCATTACTTTGGCATGCTGAGACGGTCGGATCACTTGAGGTTGGGAGTTTCAGACAAGCTTGGCCAACGTGGTGAAACATCCTCTCTACAAAAAATATACAAAAAGAATTAGCCGGGCACGGTGGCAGTTGCCTGTAATCCCAGCTACTCGAGAGGCGGAGGCAGGAGAATCACTTGAATCCAGGAGACGCAGGTTGCAGTGAGCCAAGATCGTGACACTGCACTGTAGCCTGGAAGACAGAGGGCGACTCTGTCTCAATAAACAAAAGAACAAACAAAAAATAGATTTCATGCACAGATGCTTCCCAATGGACCATTCATTTATAGATCCACTTGTGCGTTCATTTTCTGCCCTCCCATTTAACCATCTGCAATATCAGTGTCCCAAGGGCAGAGGCCAAATGCATCTTGTTCACTGTTTGTGGAAGGCAGGAGAATGCTGTCCCACCCCAAAATGTCCCTGTCCTAGCCTCCATAGCTTGTGAATATGTTATTTTACATGGAAAGGAGGAATGAAGATTGCAGATGGAATTATGGTTGCTAATCAGCTGAACTTAAAACAAGGGTATCCTGGATGATTTCCAGGAGATTATGAGGGATTTTCATCTTGGTGAACCCAATAGAATCCCCAAGTTTTCAAAAGATGAGGAAGAAGGGAGAGCAGCACTCAGAGAAAGAGGTGTGGTAAGGAAGAAGGCACTGAGTGATGCCATGTGAGATGTGACCAGTCTTTGTGGGCTTTGAGGAAGGAGGAAGGGGACCAGGAGCCAAGGAACTGGGAGCCTTTAGAAGCTGGGACAAGTGAGAAGCAGATTCGTGCCTGGAATCCTCAGAGGGAAGGCAGCCTTGCTGTCACCTTGATTTTAGCCCAGTAAGATGCACTTCCTACTTTGAGCTACAGCACTGTAAGATAATTAAAAAACCGTTTTGTTTTCACCCACGAATCTTGTGGAAATTTGTTATGGCAACAATAGGAAAAGGTTCCACACTGCACAGCCTGAGCATGGGGCCGTGGCTGAATGAGTCAGTGAGTCGAAGTGTGCGTGCATGAGCTCTGTTCTCTGTTACGGCAAGGCTCTTTCTCTGCGGAGTCAGCCAGGGTTGCTTCATGACCTACAGGAGCTCATTCCTTGGCAAGTGGAACTTCTCTAAAACACCTTGCCCTCATCAGATGTTCCCTTCCCTTCCCTCTCTCAAGTCTCCAGGAATTTATCCTCCAGTTAGGAATGCAGGTAGAACAAACATTGCATTTTTCCTGAGAAGGATGTCAGATTGGCAATCATTCTTCTAGCTTGTAGGAGGTCTCAGCTCCATAAAATGAGAGATGAAGAGATTTCACTGAGCCCTGTGTTGGGCCCAGATCCCTTTCGCTGTAGGAGTATCTGGAGTTCGGAGATGGTGGAAGACAAGTGTACAATGTCAGAGCTGTGAGATGCTGAGTCAACGCCTGAATCCAAGGTTCCCACCTCCCCAGGGTTCCAAAAGCGGATATAAGAGGGTTCTGTACTCACCGGTTTTGGAGCTTGGTTCAGTGGGTGAAGGCCAACTATTTGAAGGGTTTCCTAGAACATGAGACAGGAGAGAGGTGAGGAAATGAGGGTGTCTGTCCTCCACTCAGTGGAAATCTTTGAGGATGGTTCATGGCCAACACTCTCTTATCTAATATTGAGCCCTGGGAGTCCTGGGATCCTTTTTTCCATAATTTTTTTATATGACACCCACTGTCTTGAGACTTCAAGATATAAAGAGAAAACAGGAGCATCACACTACCTGATCTCAAAATATGTTACAGAGCTGTAGTAAGCAAAATAGCATGACATTGGCATAAAGAAAGGCACATAGAACAACGGAGCAGAATGAATAACACAGATATATTCCATGCATTTACATCCAATGGTTTTTTATTTTTTCTTTTGAGATGGAGTCTTGCTCTGTCACTCAGGCTGGAGTGCAGAGGTGCAATCTCGGTTCACTGCAACCTCAGCCTCCTGGGTTCAATCATTCTCTTGCCTCAAATTCCTGAGTAGTGGTATTACAGGTGCTGACCACCATGCTCAGCTAATTTTTATATTTTTAGTGGAGACGATGTTTCATCACGTTGGCCAGACTAATCTTGAACTCCTGGCCTCAGGTGATCCACCCACCTCGGGCTCCCAAAGTGCTGAAATTGCAGGTGTTAGCCACCAAGCCCAGCCCATCCAATGGACTTTGACAAAGATGCCAAGAACTCACAATCAGGAAAGGACAGTCTTTTCAATAAACAGTGCAGGGAAACCTGGACATCTACATGCAGAGGAATGAAACTGCAACTCTACCTGTCACCATACACAAAAATCAAATGAAAATGGATTAAAGATGTGAGTCTAAGGCCTGAACCTATGAAACACGTAGAACAAAATATTGGGGAAATGCTCCAGGACGTTTGTCTGAAGGAAGACATTTTGTTTTAAACCTTCAAAACACAAGTAATCGAAGCAAAAATAGACCATTGGGATTACCTCAAACTAAGCAACTTCAGCACTGCTAAAAATAAACCAACAAAGTGAAGAGACAACCCACAGATTGGGAGCAAATATGTGCAAACTATGCATCTGAGATGGGATTAATAACTAGAAATATAAGAAGCTCAAACAACTCAATAAAACAAATGATTTAATTGAAAAAGGAGCAAAAGACATGAAATTTCCCCACATACGAAAAAGTGCTCAGTATCACTCATCATCAGAGAAACGCAAATTAAAATCAAAGTGAGTTTTCATCTCACCCCATTAAAATGGCTTTTAGGCCGGGTGAGGTGGCTCACTTGTGTCATCCTAGAACTTTGAGAACCTGAGGTGGGTGAATCTCATAAGGTTGGGAGTTTGAGACCAGTCTGACCCACATAGAGAAACGCTGTCTCTACTAAAAATACAAAAATTAGTAGGGCGTGGTGGCGTGTGCCTGTAATTCCAGCTACTCGGGAGGCTGAGGCAGGAGAATCGCTTGAACCTGGGAGGTGGAGGTTGTGGTGAGCCGAGATAGCGCCACTGCACTCCAGCCTGGGTGAGAAGAGCAAAACTCCATCTCAAAATAAAATGAAATAAAATAAAATGGCTTTTAGCTGCAAGACAGGCAAAAGAAATGCTGGCAAGGTGGTAGAGAAAGGAGAACCCTGGTACCCTGTTGGGAGGAGTGTAAATTAGTACAGCCATTACGGAGAAAAGTATGGAAGTCCTTTAAAGAACTAAAAAGAGGTTGGGTGAGGTGGATCATGCCTGTAATCCCGGCACTTTGGGAGACTGAGGCGGGCACCTCAGTTGAGGTCATGAGTTTGAGAGCAGCCCAGCCAACATGGGGAAACCGCATCTATACTAAAAAAACCAAAAAGTAGCCAGGCATGGTGGTGTGCACCTGTAATCCCAGCTACTAGGGAGGCTGAGGCAGGAAAATCATTTGAACCCAGGAGGCGGAGGTTGCAATGAGCCAAGGTTGCACCACTTTGACTCCAGCTTGGGCTAAGGAGGGAAACTCTTTCTCAAAAAAGAAAAAAAAAAAAAAAAGAGAACTTTCATAGTATCCAGCAATTTCACTACTGGGTTTATATCCAAAGGAAAGTAAATCAACATATCGAAGTGATATCTGCACTCGTATGATTGGTGCAGCACTGTTCACAGTAGCCAAGATGAGGAGTCAACCTACCTGCCCATCAGTGGGTGAATGGATAGAGAGAATGTAGTACATACGCACAGTGGAGACTACTCATCCATAGAAAGAATAACATCCTGTCATTTGCAGCCACATGGATGGAACTGGAGGTCATTAAAAAGATTCCCATTTCTCACCCATATACAGGAGCTAAAAGGTGGATCTCATGAAGGTAGAGAGTAGAATGGTGGCTACTGGAGGACAGGAAGAAAAGGGTGGAGGGTAAAAAAAATGTATATATATATATATATAAAAATGTATTTATGACCACTAGACTTTACACTTAAAAATGGTAAATGTGGCTGGGCCTGGTGGCCCATGCCTGTAATCCCAGCACTTTGGGAGGCTGATGCGGGTGGATCACGTGGTCAGGAGTTCGAGACCAGCTCGACCAACATGGTGAAACCACCTCTCTACTAAAAATACAAAAAGTAGCCTGGCGTGGTGGTGCGTGCCTGTAGCACTAGCTACTCAGGTGGCTGAGGCAGGAGAATCGCTTGAACCCAGGAGGCGGAGGTTGCAGTGAGCTGAGATTGTGCCACTGCACTCCATCATAGGGGACAGAGCTAGACTCCACCTCAAAAAAAAATGTTAAAAGTGGTAAGCTATATAGGTATATTTATCCTCAATAAATATTTCTTCAAAGAAAAGTAAAGGGTGTAGGGGTTGCTGGTGATGACATCTCTGTGTGGGTGAGAGGCCAGGATGGGCTTCTGGGAAATGGGTAAGGTTGAGGGGCTGAGGGAACCTCTGATCTCCCCAAACTGAGCCCAGTCTCCCTCCTCTGGGTCTCTCCTGACCGCTTTCTCCATCTGCCTGGGTGCCTGGAGCCCTGGCCGTGGGCCTCCATGCAGGCCATGTAGGAGGGTTTGGAGGTGCCCTGTCGGCCATCCTGTGCCCTGATCCCTCCCTCACACCGAGGCTGCGTCTTCTCTCTGCATCTGTCCATGCTTCTCTCCATCCTCAGCAGGAAGCTCCTCAGCTAAGGCTCTAGGATCATAGGACATGGGACAGCCATGGGCTTTCCTCACCTGTGACAGAAACAAGCAGTGGGTCACTTGACTTTGACCACTCGTATGGAGAGTCATGGAAAGAGCCGAAGCATCTGTAGGTCCCTCCGTGGGTGGCAGGGCCCAGAGGAAAGTCAGCCTGGAATGTTCCGTTGACCTTGGGCCCTGCAGGGAGCCTACGTTCATGGGCCTCCCCTTCCCTGGATAGATGGTACATGTCATAGGAGCTCCGGGAGCTGCAGGACAAGGTCACATTCTCTCCTGCCAGAACCGTGGGGCCCAGCTGGGCTGAGAGAGAAGGTTTCTCATATAGACCTGGAAGGAGAAGAGGCAGTTTCCTCAGGGAGGATCTTCTTTGTCACAGCTCCCTTCACCTGAGCTGAGAACTCACTCCCCTGTTCTATGACCTAATGCTCTCTCTCTCTCTCTCTCACCCTCTACCCCATCGCTCTTCATGTCTATTTCCTCCTTCCACCTTCTCTGTCTCTCTAGGTCTCTGACCTCACTTCCCCACCTCTAGATATGTTTTCTCTTTTTGGATTGTTTTATTCTCTCTGACTCTCCTTGGATTGGTTGACTTGATGTTACTTTTTTTAATTCTGAGTTTCTCACTTTGTGTCCTGTCCATAACTTTCTGCATATTTCTATCTATTATCTATCGATCTATCTATTTATCTATTCGGTGCCTATCTACAAATTCTCTACCTGTCATCTATATCTATATATCATCTATTTATCCATCAATTGTCTATCTATCCATCAATCATCTATTATCTATATCTATGTATCATCTCTCTCTCTCTATGATTTCTCTATGTCTGCCTCTGTATCTCTATGTATTATCTATCTATCTGTCTTCATCATCATCATCTCTATGTCTCATCTATTAATGAATCAATCAATCATCATCTATGTATCTATAACCTATTATCTATCATCTACCTATTTATCATCTATCTATATCTATCCATCTATCATCTGTCTTGCTCTGCCTCTCGGTCTCTCTAGTTCTCTTTGGAATCTCTGCAATTCATCCCCACATCTCCATCTTTCAATGTCCTTGTGCCTCTCCCTCAGGAGTCTAATTTTAGTGCTTTTCTCTGCTCCCTTCCATCATTCTCACCACTCCTCTGCCCTCTTTTCTCTCTCTTTATGTGTCTGTGAGTCTCTCAATCTCCTTCCTCTGGCTCATTCTCTGTGTGTTTATGTCTTTGCTTTTTGGTGTCCCTGATTTCTCTCTGTGCCTCTCACTGATCCTCTCATAAGTGGGCTTATTTGGAATATGAGCCTCAGAATCCAGTCTGGAGACTACAAGTTCACACAGCATACAGGGGTTGGTGTTGTGGGGCCATGATATCCTGGGACGATTACTCTCCATTACATGGAAGGCAGAGGTGTCAGAATAAACATGGCATCTGTAGGTGCCACAAGGCCTGAGGCCACAGGGCCCAACTCAGGTCAGAAATATGGGTGTCCTTGGGTTCTCCTGGTAGAGAACACTTTGTGGAGGTAAAACAGAAATGAAACTTCTAACCTGTGCCAGGTCTCTGAGCAAAGTCAGCATGGAGGGACACCTCTCTCTGGGACATGTCTGTCTGTGTGTCTCCTTTAACTCTTTCTGTCTTTTCTAACTCCCGGTATGGCCCCTGTGTCTGTTCTCTGTTATGACACCTGGTCTCTACTTGTGTCTCCTGTTTCTCTGTCTCTGTTGGCACAGACCTCACCAAGTCAGTCTCTCTCCATAAGAATACCAAGCTCATCTTCCTTACAGCCACCTGGGTCTCCAATTCCTGGATCATTCACTCTGCATCCCAATGACAATGAGAAGAAAGTCTGGACACTCTCACCTATGATCACGATGTCCAGAGGGTCACTGGGAGCTGACACCTGATAGGGGGAGTGAGTAACAGAACCGTAGCATCTGTAGGTCCCTGCCAGGTCTTGCGTCATGCGACTGATGGAGAAGTTGGCCTTGGAGACCCCATCATGGTGTTCTCCAATGAGGCGCAAAGTGTCGTTAAACATCCCCTCTCTGTGCAGAAGGAAGTGTTCAAACATGACATCTGACCAACACTGCAGGATGACTGTCTCTTCTGATTTCACCAGGCGACCTGGGTGGGCCAGGAGGGAAGGTTTTCTGTGGACTCCTAGGAAGAGAGGTTGTGAGTTTAGAAGGTGTCTCTCTTTATCATCCCATCCATGGCACCTGGATTGAGTCAGGCTTCCCCTTCCTGGTGTCTTATCTCTCTCCTTCCTCTCTGTGTCTTCATGTTCTTTTCTGTGCCCATAACTCCTGGTGCAGGTCCTTCCATCTGTCTCCCTCACTCTTCTCTGTCCCTCTGTCTCTAGTAGCCTCTGATTCCCTTGCTGCTGGGCTCAGCCTCATCTCTTGGGCTGTTGTATCTATTTCGAACTAATGTCTTTCCTGCTGTCTATGTGGGGGTGGAAGAGGAACCAGGATAGGCTGCACATCCAGGCTCTTAGCAGCCTGGTTCAATCTCTTTTGGACGAATTGGAATCCTTGGCAGGAGGTATGAACTGATCAGTAAGGCAGGCACCAGTGGCCACACACCCTGTTCCTGGTAGGGACTGGGAGCCACTCTTGCCATGCCAGTGCCAGCTTCCATAGGCTGGCTCCTGGTGCTGGTTGGAGGAGTATCAACCCCTCCCTATGTGGATGGAGCCTGGTGGTGGCATCATCATCTGAGCCTTGCTGATCTCAGTGTAGCCAACCTTCTCCTTGTTTGGTTTCTTTAATTAATTAATTAATTTTGGCGACAGAGTCTCACTCCTTTGCCCAGGCTGGAGTGAAGTGGTGTGGTCTAGGCTCACTGCAACCTCTGTCTCCTGGGTTCAAGTGATTCTCCTGCCCTCAGCCTCCCAAGTCGCTAGGATTACATGCACCTGCCACCATGCCTGGCTATCCTTGTGTTGTTTCTTAACTTGTCCTTGACCTGGGTTCCAGTGTTGGTTTCCTGTTGCTGCTGTAGAAAATTATCAGAAGCATGGCACCAGGAGAGAGCACACTAACCCCTTCCAATTCTGGAGACAGAAATCGGACCCTGTTTGTCGTGGGTAAAATCAAGGCACCTGCAGGGCTTCGTTCCCTCTGGAGACTCAGGAGAATCAGTTCCTTGACTTTTCCAGCCTCTATAGGCCACCTGCATTCATGGCTCCTGGACTTCCTCCACCTTCAAAGCTGATGGAGACTCCCATTATGCTGCTGTAATCCCCACTCCCCTCTTCCTCCTCCTTTCATGTGGACCCCTGTGACTACACTGAGCCCATCAGGACAGTCCAGGCTGTCTCCCCATCTCAAGGTCAACTCATCAACAACCTGAGCTCCATCTTCTCCTTCAGTCCCTTCCCCTATATCATAAATAGTCACAGACTCCAGGGATTAGAATGTAGTCATCACTGGGGACAATTATTCTTCCCACCACAGCACCCATTTCCCTGTATTCAATCCCCCTTTACCCCAAATACAGTCAGGACTTGCATGATGGGACCCGCAAGGACACGCCCACCAGGAGCTCTGGGATTCAGGAGGTGGGACAAGGAGAATCCCAGACAGGAGCCCTCTGACCTGTGACCGTGATCTCCAGGGGGTTGCTGGGTGCCGACCACCCACTGGGGTAGTGTGGTTGTGAACCCCGACATGTATAGGTCCCTGCGTGTGCTGGGGTCACAGGGCCCATGAAAAGGCTGTTCCAGAATATTATGTTGTAGAGCTCAGGGACAGGCACCCCATCTTCCTTTTACAGACTGAAGTTGTTAAACCCAAGATAAGAATGACACTGAAGAATCACATGTCCTGGAGGCACCACAGGGCTTGGCCAGGCAGACAGCAAGGGCTTGTCCTGACCACCGTGGGGAGAAGGAGGCACCGCCTTAGAGAGGAGGATGTGGAGCCGCCCCTCCCTCCCTGTGCTCTGAAGATTCTCCTCGCTTTCCAAGTTTCTATGGCTGCTATCACACCTTGGTGCCCAGGGCTAAAGGAAGGACCCATCCCGCAAACACAAGGTGTCTCCCTACAACAAAAGTGTCAGCTGAGAACTTTGAGCAAGTGCTGAGTAAGAGACTCCTACTAGATTTTAATACTGTAAGATTACTCACATAAAACAACACAGGGTAGACATGGGGTGGAGGGCATGTCCTTTGAGAATGGAATATCAGCCGATGCCTGAACGAAAATAAACAACTGAGTCCCCATCAGAGGATTGGAATGTCAGGGCCATGGCTGTGGTTTTCCCACCTCTTCTGGTAGAATGACAGCAGCCACACTGCAGCCCCTACCGTCATGGAAACGCTGAAGTGTGTGAGTAACACCTTTGTCCTCAGAGGATCTGCTGTTCCTACCACTTCCCCACCACACACCCCAGCTTTGAGCACCGTAGTCTAACCCTGGTCCCCACAGAACTTGACTCTGCCAAGGGAATGAAAGGCCAGGGAGGCAAGGTCAGAAATGTGGGCCCAGCACCCCAGGGTCCCTTCTTCCTAGTTTATGAGAGACTCCCTGACAGGACTTCCCTCCCATTTCAGGAAAATCCTCTTATGTGGGGAGATGACACCCGAAGGTTGGGAGAAGGACTCACCCTCATGTGGCCAGGCCCCCTGCAGCAAGAAGAACCCTGGAAAGAAAGATCATGATGGATGACCCATCTGCAGGCAAACCAGGGCACCCTTGCTGCCCCCACTGGGCTGTGAGTCTTGGTAGCCAGGCCCTTCCTGGGCTGAAGGTAAACTCACCCTCAGTGCCTACCTGCACCCAAGAACAGGGCTGTCGGCTGTGCAGAGACCCAGCCTCCAGGTCCATATCCCCACCTCAAGCCCATATCTCCACTCCAGGCCCATATCTCCACTCCAGGCCGATATTTCCACCCTAAGCCCATATCGCCAATCCAGGCCCATATCTCCAATCCAGGCTCAGATCTCCACCCTGGGCCCATATCTCCAATCCAGGCCCTTATCTCCACTCCAGGTCCATATCTCCTCTCCAGTCCCATATCTCCACTCCAGGCCCATATATCCTCTCCAGTCCCATATCTCCACACCCAGGCCCGTATCTCCATCCTAGGCACATATCTCCTCTCCAGGCCCAGATATCGACCTCTAGGCCCATATCTCCACTCCTGGCCCATATCTCCACTCCAGGCCCAGATATCGACCTCTAGGCCCATATCTCCACTCCTGGCCCATATCTCCACTCCAGGCCCATGTCTCCACTTCAGGCCCATATCTCTACTGCAGGCCCATAACTCCACCTCCAGGCCCATGACTCCACTCCAGGCCCATATCTCCACCTCCAGGCCCATATCTCCCCTCCAGGTTCCTATCTCCCCTCCAGGTTCCTATCTCCACTCCAGGCCCAGATCTCCACTACAGTCCCATCACTCCACCTCCAGGCCTATATCTCGACCTCTGGGCCCAGATCTCCACTTCTAGGCCCATCACTCCATCTCTAGGCCCATATATCCACTCCAGGCCCAGATCTCCACTCCAGGCCCATAACTCCACCTCCAGGCCTATATCTCCACCTCTGGGCCCAGATCTCCATCCCCTCACTCCCTCCCTCTATTGCTTTCCAGGACTCACCAACACACGCCATGCTGACGACCAAGAGCGACATGGTGCTGCCGGAGCAGACAGGCAGCCGCGACCGAGCTCAGCTCAGCAGCGCACAGGATGTTATTTGGCGCCCTGCCCATGCAGTTTACATGTTGACCACATCATGGGAGGGTGACGTACGCAGGCTCTTTCTACCTTGCATGAGGCCCAGTGGGTGCTCGCTCAAGAGCGGAACACGGCTTCCTGGAAATTGTTCTCGCTAGAATTTGACACCTAGTGTCCTTCACTATGACCAACTCAAAACACGTCTGAGATCCAACCTCCCGAACACGAGATGCCTAAAATCTGTGCTAACATGAAAGACTTTTCATGTATTTCTATTGTTTTTATCTGAGATTCAAACTCTTCTTCCTGTGTAATATGCAAAATATCTAATAGGTATTATTAATGTTTTCAGAGTCATTGTCACTAATAAACCATTAGAATTTTTCATGCTTGTATTTCTAGTATTACAGCAGAACCAGTTAAAATGATTTAAATTCCCAGGGAAGGATTATGCAATTATTTACAATCTTAGAATTGTACTTTATCAGTAAAAACCCCACCTGTAAATTCTGGAGTTTTGTAGTTTAATCTAAAATTTGTCTCATGACCCAAGATTCCAGAGTCCCAACTCTGGAGTTTGTTTTCCGTCTGTCTCTCTCCCTCCCTCATTTTAAATTTTACAGAAATATCCAGTAACATAATGCTATAGAAAATCAAGTTTCCCCAGCACGTTGGGAAGCCGAGGTGGGCGGATCAACTGAGATAAGGAGTTTGAGAGCAGCCTGGCCAATATAGTGAAACCGTGTCTCTGCTAAAAATCCAAAAATTAGCCGTGCCTGGTGGCAGGCACCTGTAACGCCAGCTACTCAAGAGGCTGAGGCATGAGAATCGCTTGAACCTGGGAGGCAGAAGTTGCAGTGAGCTGAGATTGTGTCACTGCAGTCCAGCCTGGGCGACAGAGCAAGACTCCGCCTCAAGAAAAAAAAGCAAATAGCCTATAATAACAAATTAGAGAGCTCTGGCTACTAAATTTAAAGGGTTCTATAAGGCTACATAAAGTGCAGCATCATCAAGAGTGTGGACACAGAGAGCCCCTTAGCAGAAACAGTGTCTAAAGTACATCCGTGTACACACAGTCCCTTTAGAGTTGACAAAGGCTGCCGTGTGGTTTAAGGTGGCATAGAATGTCTTCTCAATAAATAATATTAAACCAATGGGTTATACCTAGGAAAAAATAAATCTAACTCACACTATAAAAACACTTCTTAGTTTTTATCTAGTTGTACATTTTTTATGATTTATATTTAAATTTGAGAAATAAAAGTCATATACGGTCATCCTTCACTATTCGTGGGTGATTGGTTTCGAGATCTCCACTCAGATACCAAAATCTGTAGATGCTCAAGCCTCTTATATGAAATGGCACAGAGTTTGCAAATAACCTATGCACATCCTCCTGTATACATGAAATCATCTCTAGATTACTTATAATTCCTGATGCAGCCTACACACAGCTTCATTTGTGTCCATTCAACACAGTTCTGCTTTTTGTAACTCTGTGGATACTTTCTCTGAATATTTTTGATTTATACTCGGTTCAATAAAGAACTGTAAACCCCACAGATATGGAGGAGTGACTGTATATTTATAGTGTGAAAGATGATGTGTTGATATGTGTCCCTGTGTAGATGAGACTAACAAGGCCTATGATTCTACAAATGTTTCATCTTGGAATGACTCTGCCAGATTTCCAGGTCTGCAGAGAGTAAGAATATCACTTGTTCATGTGATTCACGATCCTTGGAACCTCCTATGTGCTACATCTTTGGATGGAAATAGGAGTCCCAGAGACAAATGAGGCTCCACCCTGCTTCCAGAAACTCAGAGTCCGGGGGTGAGAACCCAGTGGAGAACAGATGGGGTTATGTGGACATGGTAATGATAATGGAAGTCTTAGGCAAGAAAAGAGTCCCATTACCGAAACCATGAGGGCAGACATGTTTATTTGAAGGAGGGAAAACTACATTGAAATTATTTTAAAAAATATATAAGTTTTACTGCTGACAGAAGGCTGAAAGATACTCTGAGGGGAGGTGGAACAGCATGAGGGAAGGTGGAACAGGACGTGTCTAAGTGCCGTGTTAAGAGGGAGCCTCTTGTATGTTTGGAACTGTGAGTTCCTCAGTGTGATTGCAGCCTCAAGTAGACTAGGAAGTAAGCCAGTAAGGTTGGAGAGGTGGGCAGGGGTCAAGTGAAATGGAGAATTGTGGGCTAAGCAAAGGAGTGTGTTTTTTCTCCAGCAGGCAGTGGGGACCTTAGACATTTGTAAGCAAGAGAGAGGCACATTCAGATTTGTGGTGTGAGGAAGAGCGATGCCCTAAGATGCAGACTCACGCCTTCAGATTCCAGCTGCTGGTACATGGGAGCTGGCAACCCGGTTTTGAGACAGGGCTGTTGTCTCCCTAGAAGATCCCCTCAAGGCCTGACTGTGGTGCTCATGGGCAGGAGACAACTTTGGATCTGGACTCAGCATTTGGAAGTTCCGTGTACACTCTGGTATCTGTTGGGGGTGTCTTGGGCCTCTGAGAAGGGCGAGTGATTTTTCTCTGTGTGAAAACGCAGTGATCCAACTGTACGTATGTCACCTCCTGAGGGTCTTGTTCATCAGAGTCCTGGAGAGAGGGAAATCCTGAGTGAGGGAGGGTGCTCACGTTTTCCAGGACTGTTTGGGAATAACACTAGCCACGAGGCTGGGCCGAGGAGCACCTACCTCGCTATTCGCTGTTCTGTTCCCTGCAGGCTCTTGGTCCATTACAGCAGCATGTGTAGGAGACGGAAGTCAACAAAAGAGCTCGGAGGGCACTTCTGGGTCCTCATTTCATAAGCAGATACCAACAAACAGGGGGAGGCCATAGGTGCCTGAGGTCCCTCAGTTGCCAACAGCAGACTCAGACATTCTATCTCTCTGAGCTCAAGGACCCATCCCATGAATAGCTCTGAGTTCCCATCCCATTGATTCTGTCTCCCACTTTCTGCCTGTCATGGAACCTTCTCCTGGATGTGAGTGGCTGCAGGGGACATGAGGATACAGTTCAGAATCAGGCAACGGTCTGTGAGCTGAAAGCAGGGACAGGGAGTCTGGTGCCCTCTCTAGAAAGTCCTGCCTCTGTGGCTGCTGCCTTGGGCCAGGGACCATCCTACCTGTGAGGAACACACACCTGAGTGCTCCCATCCTGCTTCCCCACATGGCCCTGAGCTCTCTGGCCTCTCCTTCGTGAGACTTACTTTTCTTGTTGGAGCACCAGCGATGAAGGAGAAAGAAGAGGAGGAGGATGAAGAGGATGATGACCACTGAGGTCCCAATCAGAACGTGCAGGTGTCTTGGGTTACCTGGAAGAAGATGAGACACCAATAAGAAGCTAATCATAGCAGTTCCTCTTTATGAATTGTCTCGCATTTCTTGATTGACAGGTAACCACGTAAAACACCTCTTTAGGACAAGCACCCAGATGGCGGGAGACCCAGCTTTCTCCTGCTTTCTCAGTTATAGCTCTCAAAGTAACCATAGAATGTGCTGAGGACACAACTACTTTAGTTGAGATGTTTGACCCCTTCAAACCTCACATTGAAATTTCACCCCCATTGTGGGAGGTTGGGCCTCTTGAGAGGTGTTTGGGTCATGGAGGTGGATCCATCATGAACAGATCAATGCTGTCCCAAGGAGACGGGGTTAGCTAGTTCCCCCTCTATTAGTTCCTGGAGAGCTGGTTGTTCAAAAGAACTTGGAAGCTCCATCGCTCCCCCTCCCCCTTGCTCCCTCTCTTGCCGTGTGATCTCTGTGGTCTCTGCACAGACAGACCCTCCTTCCCTTCTGCCAGAGTGGGAGCAGCCTGAGGCCATCACGAGAAATAGATGCTGGTGCCATGCTTCCAGTACAGCCTGCAGAACGGTGAGGCAAACCAATCTCTTTTCTTTAGAAGTTGCCCAGGCTCAAGTGTTCCTTTAGAGCAACAAAAATGGACTAAGACAGCAACGTCCTGAGATCAGGAGGAACGTCCCAGAGCAGCCTGGGCTGTCTTCCTGTTCTTCCTGGAGGAGGACGTCATGCAGTGCTTTAGCTGAGTGCTTCCTGTGGCTCCAGGGTACAAAACCCAGGCTGGGCTGCTTTCTGGCTTCCCCCAGCTACACTGCAAATGGGGTGACTCCATATGTCCCGAGCAGCTTTTCTGAGCCTTGAGGGACTGGCTCACATTGAAATGTAGGCTTCTGTTTTCACTCGCTGCTTATCTGTTAGTAATGAACCTGCCTATGTAACGTATTCTCTGTGTGTTCTGTCTCCCTGGAGTGACGGTGAGTGATAGGAATTGGCGTAGGCCCAGGTGCAGTCTAGGAGGTGTTTAGGGTCTTTTCTGGGAAGACTGCACTGGGATTGACACACAGCGAATGTGCTTTAGGATTTCTACATCCACAGCATTCTTGAGTCAAACAACTTGCGTTCTCCAAGGAAAGGAAACAAAAGTGAAATCAAGATAAAAAAGCGAAATAGAGTTATCTTATGTCCAACAGCCAGGAAATCGTGTTGAAGCCCCTGTGAAACGTCCTACTCTTTGTGATCTCGGGAGACACATGTTAGGCTGCTGTTCTACCTGAGAGGCTGGGGGAAGGACCACCCCCTCCACCATCTATTGCTTCAATACCACCTGTCCTCCTGTGAATTAGTAGGAAAGGGGAGCAGGAGCTAGTGCTGGTGCTGATCTCTCATTCCAAGATCTGGACTCACTCCAAGGAGTATTAATGTTTACCTCCCCATGGTCTATCTGAATCTCCACAGGTGATTGGAAGTAGGGGTGAAGTGGGGGATTTGAGTGAGAGGGCAAGTTTTTTTTGTGATGAACAGAGCACTTTCTCTATTCCACGATCTGTGCTGGAGGATTCAGCGGGCTTTCACATTTTCTATATGGTCTCATGCTCACAGAAAGCCAAATACGGAAGAGGTTTTAGGCTCATTGCCTAATGGATAAGACAAAGGATCAAAGAAGTAATTATAGAGAAATACAAAAATGATGATTGGAATTCAGGTGCCTTTGTCATTCGTGTGTGTTTTATTATATTTATGCATTTCTTATTTTTATTTTTTGAGACGGAGTCTCCTTGTGTCACCCAGGCTGGAGTGCAGTGATGCAATCTCCACTCACTGCAACCTCCACCTCCTGGGTTGAAGTCGTTCTCCTGCTTCATCCTCAAGAGTAGGAGCTGGGATTACAGGGATGCACCACCATGCTCGGCTAATTTTTGTATTTTTCATAGAGACAGGGTTTCACCATTTTGGCCAGGCTGGTCTGGAACTCCTGACTTCAAGTGATCCACCCGCCTTGGCCTCCTGCAGTGCTGGGAATTGCCTTTTCCACGGCCTGAGCATGGGGCCGTGGCTGAATGAGTCAGTGAGTCGAAGTGTGCGTGCATGAGCTCCGTTCTCTGTTAAGGCAAAGCTCTTGCTCTGCTGAGTCAGCCAGGGTTGCTTCATGACCAACAGTAATTCATTCCTGGGCAAGTGGAACTTCTCTAAAACACCTCGCCCTCATCAAATGTTCCCTACCCTTCCCTCTCTCAAGCCCCCAGGAATTTATCCTCCAGTTAGGAATGCAGGCAGAACAAACATTGCATTTTTCCTGAGAAGGATGTCAGATTGCCAATCATTTTTCTAGCTTGTAGGAGATCTCAGCTCCATAAAATGAGAGATTAAGAGATTTCACAGAGCCCTGTTTTGGGTCCAGATCCCTTTCGCTGTTGGAGTATCTGGAGTTTGGAGATGGTAGAAGACAGGCGTACAATGTCAGAGCTGTGAGATGCTGAGTCAACGCCTGAATCCAAGGTTTCCACCTCCCCAGGTTTCCAAAAGCGGATATAAGAGGGTTCTGTACTCACCGGTTTTGGAGCTTGGTTCAGTGGGTGAAGGCCAACTATTTGAAGGGTTTCCTAGAACATGAGACAGGAGAGAGGTGAGGAAATGAGGGTGTCTGTCCTCTACTCAGTGGAAATCTTTGAGGTTGGTTCATGGCCAACACTCTGTTATCTAATATTGGGCCCTGGGAGTCCTGGGATCCTTTTTTCCGTAATTTTTGTATGTGACGGCTACTGTCTTGAGACTTCAAGGTATAAAGAGAAAACAGGAGCATCACACTACCTGATCTCAAAATATGTTACAGAGCTGTAGTAAGCAAGACAGCATGACGTTGGCATGAAGAAAGGCACATAGAACAACGGAGCAGAATGAATAACACAGATATAATCCATGCATTTACCTCCAATGTATTTTTTGTTTTTCTTTTGAGATGGAGTCTTGCTCTGTCACCCAGGCTGGAGTGCAGAGGTGCAATCTCGGTTCACTGCCACCACAGCCTCCTGGGTTCAATCACTTCTCTTGCCTCAAACTCCTGAGTAGTGGTATTACAGGTGCTGACCACCATGCTCAGCTAATTTTTATATTTTTAGTGGAGACGATGTTTCATCACGTTGGCCAGACTAATCTTGAACTCTTGGCCTCAGGTGATCCACCCACCTCGGGCTCCCAAAGTGCTGAAATTGCAGGTGTCAGCCACCATGCCCAGCCCATCCAATGGACTTTGACAAAGGTGCCAAGAACTCACAATCAGGAAAGGACAGTCTTTTCAATAAACAGTGCAGGGAAACCTGGACATCGACATGCAGAGGAATGAAACTGCACCTCTGCCTGTCACTATACACAAAAATCAAATGAAAATGGATTAAAGATGTGAGTCTAAGGCCTGAACCTATGAAACACGTAGAAGAAAATATTGGGGAAATGCTCCAGGACGTTTGTCTGAAGGAAGACATTTTGTTTTAAACCTTCAAAACACAAGTAATCGAAGCAAAAATAGACCATTGGGATTACCTCAAACTAAGCAACTTCTGCACCGCTAAAAATAAACCAACAAAGTGAAGAGACAACCCACAGATTGGGAGCAAATATGTGCAAACTATGCATCTGAGATGGGATTAATAACTAGAAATATAAGAAGCTCAAACAACTCAATAAAACAAATGATTTAATTGAAACAGGAGCAAAAGACATGAAATTTCCCCACATACGAAAAAGTGCTCAGTATCACTCATCATCAGAGAAACACAAATTAAAATCAAAGTGAGTTTTCATCTCACCCCATTAAAATGGCTTTTAGGCCGGGCGTGGTGGCTCACGTCTGTCATCCTAGAACTTTGAGAGCCTGAGGTGGGTGAATCTCATAAGGTCGGGAGTTTGAGACCAGTCTGACCCACATGGAGAAACACTGTCTCTACTAAAAATACAAAAATTAGTCGGGCGTGGTGGCGTGTGCCTGTAATTCCAGCTACTCGGGAGGCTGAGGCAGGAGAATCGCTTGAACCTGGGAGGTGGAGGTTGTGGTGAGCCGAGATCGCACCACTGCACTCAGCCTGGGTGACAAGAGCGAAACTCCATCTCAAAATAAAATGAAATAAAATAAAATGGCTTTTAGCTGCAAGACAGGCAAAAGAAATGCTGGCAAGGTGTTAGAGAAAGGAGAATCCTGGTATCCTGTTGGTAGGAGTGTAAATTAGTACAGCCATTACGGAGAAAAGTGTGGAAGTCCTTTAAAGAACTAAAAAGAGGTTGGGTGAGGTGGATCATGCCTGTAATCCCGGCACTTTGGGAGACCGAGGCGGGCACCTCAGTTGAGGTCATGAGTTTGAGAGCAGCCCAGCCAACATGGGGAAACCGCATCTATACTAAAAAAAACAAAAAGTAGCCAGGCATGGTGGCGTGCGCCTATAATCCCTGATACTAGGGAGGCTGAGGCAGGAAAATCATTTGAACCCAGGAGGCAGAGGTTGCAATGAGCCAAGATGACATCACTTGTACTCCAGCCTGGGCACAGAGGGAAACTGTCTCAAAAACAAAAACAAAACAACAAACGAAAAACTAAAAAGAGAACTTTCATAGTATCCAGCAATTTCACTACTGGGTTTATATCCAAAGGAAAGTAAATCAATATATCGAAGTGATATCTGCACTCGTATGATTGGTGCAGCACTCTTCACAGTAGCCAAGATGAGGAGTCAACCTACCTGCCCATCAGTGGGTGAATGGATAGAGAGAATGTGGTACATTTGCATAGTGGAGACTACTCTTCCATAGAAAGAAAAACATCCTGATATTTGCAGCCACATGGATGGAACTGGAGGTCATTACAAAGATTCCCATTTCTTACCCATATACAGGAGCTAAAAGGTGGATCTCATGAAGGTAGAGAGTAGAATGGTGGCTACCAGAGGCCAGGAAGAAAAGGGTGGAGGGTAAAAAAAAATATGTGTATATATATATATATTAATGTATTTATGACCACTAGACTTTACACTTAAAAATGGTAAATGTGGCTGGGCGTGGTGGCTCATGCCTGTAATCCCAGCACTTTGGGAGGCTGATGCGGGTGGATCACGTGGTCAGGAGTTCGAGACCAGCTTGACCAACATGGTGAAACCCCCTCTCTACTAAAAATACAAAAAGTAGCCTGGCATGGTGGTGCGCGCCTGTAGCACCAGCTACTCAGGTGGCTGAGGCAAGAGAATCGCTTGAACCCAGGAGGCGGAAGTTGCAGTGAGCTGAGATTGTGCCAATGCACTCCAGCATAGGGGACAGAGCTAGACTCCGCCTCAAAAAAAAAATGTTAAAGGTGGTAAGCTATATAGGTATATTTATCCTCAATAAATATTTCTCAAACAAAAGTAAAGGGTGTAGGGGTTGCAGGTGATGACATCCCTGTGTGGGTGGGAGGCCAGGATGGGCTTCTGGGAAATGGGTAATGTTGAGGGGCTGAGGGAACCTCTGATCTTCCCAAACTGAGCCCAGTCTCCCTCCTCTGGGTCTCTCCTGACCGCTTTCTCCATCTGCCTGGGTGCCTGGAGTCCTGGCCGCAGGCCTTCATGCAGGCCATGTAGGAGGGTTTGGAGGTGCCCTGTCTGCCATCCTGTGCCCTGATCCCTCCCTCACACCCAAGCTTCGTCTTCTCTCTGCATCTGTTCATCCTTCTCTCCATCCTCAGCAGGAAGCTCCTCAGCTAAGGCTCTAGGATCATAGGACATGGGACAGCCATGGGCTTTCCTCACCTGTGACAGAAACAAGCAGTGGGTCACTCGAGTTTGACCACTCGTAGGGAGAGTCACGGAAAGAGCCGAAGCATCTGTAGGTTCCTCCGTGGGTGGCAGGGCCCAGAGGAAAGTCAGCCTGGAATGTTCCGTTGACCTTGGGCCCTGCAGAGAACCTACGTTCATGGGCCTCCCCCTCCCTGGATAGATGGTACATGTCATAGGAGCTCCGGGAGCTGCAGGACAAGGTCACGCTCTCTCCTGCCAGAACCGTGGGGCCCGGCTGGGCTGAGAGAGAAGGTTTCTCATATAGACCTGGAAGGAGAAGAGGCATTTTCCTTACGGAGGATCTTCCTTGTCACAGCTCCCTTCACCTGAGCTGAGAACTCACTCCCCTGCTCTATGACCTAATGCTCTCTCTCTCTCTCTCTCTCACCCTCCACCCCATCTCTCTTCATGTCTATTTCCTCCTTCCACCTTCTCTGTCTCTCTAGGTCTCTGACCTCGCTTCCACACCTCTAGATATGTTTTCCCTTTTTGGATTGTTTTATTCTCTCTGACTCTCCTTGGATTGGTTGACTTGATGTTACTTTTTTAAATTCTAAGTTTCTCACTTTGTGTCCTGTTCATAACTTTCTGCATATTTCTATCTATTATCTATCGATCTATCTATTTATCTATTCGGTGCCTATCTACAAATTCTCTACCTGTCATCTATATCTATATATCATCTATGTATCTATCACTTGTCTATCTATCCATCAATCATCTGTTATCTATATCTATGTATCATCTCTCTCTCTATGACTTCTGTCTGCCTCTCTATCTCTATGTATTATCTATCTGTCTTCATCATCATCATCTCTATGTCTCATCTATTAATGAATCAATCAATCATCATCTATGTATCTTTAACCTATTATCTATCATCTACCTATTTATCATCTATCTATATCTATCCATCTATCATCTGTCTTGCTCTGCCTCTCGGTCTCTCTAGTTCTCTTTGGAATCTCTGCAATTCATCCCCACATCTCCATCTTTCTATGTCCTTGTGCCTCTCCCTCAGGAGTCTAATTTTAGTGCTTTTCTCTGCTCCCTTCCATCATTCTCACCACTCCTCTGCCCTCTTTTCTCTCTCTTTATGTGTCTGTGAGTCTCTCAATCTCCTTCCTCTGGCTCATTCTCTGTGTGTTTATGTCTTTGCTTTTTGGTGTCCCTGATTTCTCTCTGTGCCTCTCAGTGATCCTTTCATATGTGGGGTTATTTGGAATGTGAGCCTCAGAATCCAGTCTGGAGACCACAAGTTCACACAGCATACAGGAGTTGGTGTTCTGGGGCCATGATATCCTGGGACGGTTACTCTCCATTACATGGAAGGCAGAGGTGTCAGAATAAACACGGCATCTGTAGGTGCCACAAGGCCTGAGGCCACAGGGCCCAACTCAGGTCAGAAATATGGGTGTCCTTGGGTTCTCCTGGTAGAGAACACTTTGTGGAGGTAAAACAGAAATGAAACTTCTAACCTGTGCCAGGTCTCTGAGCAAAGTCAGCATGGAGGGACACCTCTCTCTGGGACATGTCTGTCTGTCTGTCTCCTTTAACTCCTTCTGTCTTTTCTAACTCCCGGTATGGCCCCTGTGTCTGTCCTCTGTTATGACACCTGGTCTGTACTTGTGTCTCCTGTTTCTCTGTCTCTGTTGGTACAGACCTCACCAAGTCAGTCTCTCTCCATAAGAATACCAAGCTCATCTTCCTTACAACTACCTGGGGGTTCCAAGTCGTGGATCATTCACTCTGCATCCCAATGACAATGAGAAGAATGTCCGGACACTCTCACCTGTGATGACGATGTCCAGAGGGTCACTGGGAGCTGACAACTGATGGGGGAGTGAGTAACAGAACCGTAGCATCTGTAGGTCCCTGCCAGGTCTTCCATCATGGGACCGATGGAGAAGTTGGCCTTGGAAACCCCATCATGGTGCTCTCCAGTGAGGTGCAAAGTGTCGTTAAACTTCCCTTCTCTGTGCAGAAGGAAGTGCTGAAACCTGACATCTGACCAACATTGCAGGATGACTGTCTCTTCTGATTTCACCAGGGGACCTGGGTGGGCCAGGAGGGAAGGTTTTCTGTGGACTCCTAGGAAGAGAGGTTGTGAGTTTAGAAGGTGTCTCTCTTTATCATCCCATCCATGGCACCTAGAATGAGTGAGGCTTCCCCTTGCTGGTGTCTGTCTCTCTCCTTCCTCTCTGTGTCTTCATGTTCTTTTCTGTGCCCATAACTCCTGGTGCAGGTCCTTCCATCTGTCTCCCTCCCTCTTCTCTGTCCCTCTGTCTCTAGTCGCCTCTGATTCCCTTCCCACTGGGCTTAGCCTCATCTCTTGGGGTGTTGTATCTATTTCACACTAATGTCTTTCCTGCTGTTTATGTGGGGGTGAAAGAGGAACCAGGATAGGCTGCACATCCAGCCTCTTATCAGCCTGGTTCAATCTCTTTTGGATGAATTGGAATCCTTGGCAGTAGGTATGAACTGATGAATAAGGCAGGCACCAGTGTCCACACACCCTGTTCCTGGTCGGGACTGGGAGCCACTCTTGCCATGCCTGTGCCTTCTCCATGGTGCCAGCTTCCATAGGCTGGCTCCTGGTGCTGGTTTGAGGAGTATCAACCCCTCCCTATGTGGATGGAGCCTGGTGGTGGCATCATCATCCCACACTTGCTCATCTCGGTGTAGCCAACCTTCCCCTTGTTTGGTTCCTTTAATTAATTAATTAATTATGGAGACAGAGTCTCACTCCTTCACCCCAGCTGGAGTGAAGTGGTGTGGTCTAGGGTCACTGCAACCTCTGTCTCCTGGGTTCAAGTGATTCTCCTGCCCTCAGCCTCCCAAGTCGCTAGGATTACATGCGCCTGCCACCACACCCGGCTATCCTTGTGTTGTTTCTTACCTTGTCCTTGACCTGGGTTCCAGTGTTGGTTTCCTGTTGCTGCTGTAGAAAATTATCAGAAGCATGGCAGCAGGAGAGAGCACACTGACCCATTTCACTACTGGAGACAGAAATAGGACCCTGTTTTTCCTGGGCTAAAATCAAGGCATCTGCAGGGCTTCGTTCCCTCTGGAGACTCTGGAGAATCATTTCCTTGACTTTTCCAACCTCTACAGGCCACCTGCATTCATGGCTCCTGGCCTTCCTCCACCTTCAAAGCTGGTGGAGTCTCCCATTGCGCTGCTCTAATCCCCACTCCCCTCTTCCTCCTCCTTTCATGTGGACCCTTGTGATTACACTGAGCCCAGCGGGACAGTCCAGGCTGTCTCCCCATCTCAAGGTCAACTCATCAACAACCTGAGCTCCATCTTCCCCTTCAGTTCCTTCCCCTATAACATAAATAGTCACAGACTCCAGGGATTAGAATGTAGTCATCACTGGGGACAATTATTCTTCCCACCACAGCACCCATTTCCCTGTATTCAATCCCCCTTTACCCCAAATATAGTCAGGGCCTGGGTGATGGGACCCTCAAGGACACGCCCACCAGAAGCTCTGGGATTCAGGAGGTGGGAAAGGAGAATCCAAGACAGGAGCCCTCTGACCTGTGGCCATGATCACCAGGGTGTTGCTGGGTGCCGACCACCCACTGGGGTAGTGTGGGTGTGAACCCCGACATCTGTACGTCCCTGTGTGTGCTGGGGTCACAGGGCCCATGAAAAGGCTCTTCCAGAATATTCTGTTGTAGAGCTCAGTGCCAGGCACCCCATCTTCCTTTTACAGACTGAAGTTGTTAAACCCAAGATAAGAATGACACCGAAGAATCACATGTCCTGGAGGCACCACAGAGCTGGGCCAGGCAGACAGCAAGGGCTTGTCCTGACCACCTTGGGGAGAAGGAGGCACCGCCTTAGAGAGGAGGATGTGGAGCCACCCCTCCCTCCCTGTGCTCTGAAGATTCTCCTCGCTTTCCAAGTTTCTATGGCTGCTATCACACCTTGGTGCCCAGGGCTAAAGGAAGGACCCATCCCGCAAACACAAGGTGTCTCCCTACAACAAAAGTGTCAGCTGAGAACTTTGAGCAAGTGCTGAGTAAGAGACTCCTACTAGATTTTAATACTGTAAGATTACTCACATAAAACAACACAGGGTAGACATGGGGTGGAGGGCATGTCTTTGAGAATGGAATATCAGCAGATGCCTGAATGAAAATAAGCAACTGAGCCCCCATCAGAGGATTTGGAATGTCAGGGCCATGGCTGTGGTTTCCCACCTCTTCTGGTGGAGTGACAGCAGCCACACTGCAGCCCCTACCGTCATGGAAACGCTGAAGTGTGAGTAACACCTTTGTCCTCAGAGGATCTGCTGTTCCTACCACTTCCCCACCACGCACCCCAGCTTTGAGCACCCCAGTCTAACCCTGGTCCCCACAGAACTTGACTCTGCCAAGGGAATGAAAGGCCAGGGAGGCGAGGTCGGAACTGTGGGCCGAGCACCCCAGGGTCCCCTCTTCCTAGTTTATGAGAGGCTCCCTGACAGGACTTCCCTCCTGTTTCAGGAAAATCCTCTTATGTGGGGAGATGACACCCTAAGGTTTGGAGAAGGACTCACCCTCATGTGGCCAGGCCCCCTGCAGCAAGAAGAACCCTGGAAAGAAAGATCATGATGGACGATCCATCTGCAGGCAAACCAGCCCTCCCTTGCTGCCCTCACTGGGCTGTGAGTCTTGGTAGGCAGGCCCTTCCTGGACTGAAGTTAAACTCACCCTCAGTGCCTACCTGCACCCAAGAACAGGGCTGTCGGCTGTGCAGAGACCCAGCCTCCAAGCCCAGATCCCCACCACAAGCCCATATCCCCACCACAAGCCCATATCTCCACTCCAGGCCAATATTTCCACCCTAGGCCTGTATCTCCACTCCAGGCCCATATCTCCACTCCAGGCCGATATTTCCATCATAGGCCCATATCGCCAATCCAGGCCCATATCGCCAATCCAGGCCAAGATCTCCACTGTAAGCCCATATCTCCAATCCAGGCCCATATCTCCACTCCAGGCTCAGATCTCCAACCTAGGCCCATATCTCCAATCCAGGCCCATATCTCCACACCAGGCCCATATCTCTACTGAAGGCCAGTAACTCCACCTCCAGGCCCATATCTCCACTCCAGGCCCAGATCTCCACCCCAAGCCCATATCTCCACCCCAGGCCCATATCTCTACTGAAGGCCCGTAACTCCACCTCCAGGCCCATATCTCCACCCCAGGCCCAGATCTCCACCCCAAGCCCATATCTCCACTCTAGGCCCATATCTCCTCTCCAGTCCCATATCTCCACAACCAGGCCCATATCTCCATCCTAGGCCCATATTTCCACTCTAGGCCCAGATATCCACCTCTAGGCCCATATCTCCACTCCTGGCCCAAATCTCCACTCCAGGCCCATATCTCTACTATAGGCCTATAACTCCACCTCCAGGCCCATATCTCCACTCCAGGCTCCTATCTCCCCTCCAGGTTCCTATCGGCACTCCAGGCCCAGATCTCCACTTCTAGGCCCATCACTCCATCTCTAGGCCCATATATCCACTCCAGGCCCAGATCTCCACTCCAGGCCCACAACTCCACCTCCAGGCCTATATCTCCACCTCTGGGCCCAGATCTCCAACCCCACACTCCCTTCCTCTATTCCCTTCCAGGACTCACCAACACACGCCATGCTGACGACCGTGAGCGACATGGTGCTGCCGGTGCAGACAGGCGGCCGTGCCCCAGCTCAGCTCAGCAGCGCACAGGATGTTATTTGGCGCCCTGCCCATGCAGTTTACATGTTGACCACATCATGGGAGGGTGACGTACGCAGGCTCATTCTACCTTGCATGAGGCCCAGTGGGTGCTCGCTCAAGAGCGGAACACGGCTTCCTGGAAATTGTTCTCACTAGAATTTACACCTAGCGTCCTTCACTATGACCAACTCAAAACACGTCTCAGATCCAACCTCCTGAACACGAGATGCCTAAAATCTGTGCTAACGTGAAAGACTTTTCATGTATTTTTATTGTTTTTATCTGAGATTCAAACTCTTCTTCATGTGTAATATGCAAAATATTTAATAGGTATTATTAAGGTTTTCAGAGTCATTGTGACTAATAAACCATTAGAATTTTTCATGCTTGTATTTCTAGTATTACAGCAGAACCAGTTAAAATGATTTAAATTCCCAGGGAAGGATTATGCAATTATTTACAATCTTAGAATTGTACTTTATCAGCAAAAACCACACCTGTAAATTCTGGAGTTTTGTAGTTTAATCTAAAATTTGTCTCATGACCCAAGATTCCAGAGTCCCAACTCTGGAGTTTGATCTCTCTCTGTCTCTCTGCCTCCCTCATTTTAAATTTTACAGAAATATCCAGTAACATAATGCTATAGAAAATCAAGTTTCCCCAGCACGTCGGGAAGCCGAGGTGGGCGGATCAACTGAGATGAGGGGATTGAGAGCAGCCTGGCCAACATAGTGAAACCGTGTCTCTGCTAAAAATCCAAAAATTAGCCATGCCTGGTGGCAGGCACCTGTAACGCCAGCTACTCAAGAGGCTGAGGCACGAGAATCGCTTGAACCTGGGAGGCGGAGGTTGCAGTGAGCTGAGATTGTGTCACTGCAGTCCAGCCTGGGCGACAGAGCAAGACTCCGCCTCAAGAAAAAAAAAAGCAAATAGCCTATAATAACAAATTAGAGGGCTCTGGCTACTAAATTTAAAGGGTTCTATAAGGCTACATAAAGTGTAGCATCATCAAGTGTGTGGACACAGACAGCCCCTTAGCAGAAACTGTCTAAAATACATCCATGTACACACAGTCCCTTTAGAGTTGACAAAGGCTGCCGTGTGGTTTAAGGTGGCATAGAATGTCTTCTCAATAAATAATATTAAACCAATGGGTTACACCTAGTAAAAAATAAATCTAACTCACACTATAAAAACACTTCTTAGTTTTTATCTAGTTGTACATTTTTTGATTTATATTTAAATTTGAGAAATAAAAGTCATATACGGTCATCCTTCACTATTCGTGGGTGATTGGTTTCGAGATCTCCACTCAGATACCAAAATCTGTAGATGCTCAAGCCTCTTATATGAAATGGCACAGCGCTTGCAAATAACATATGCACATCCTCCTGTATACATGAAATCATCTCTTGATTACTTATAATTCCTGATACAGCCTACACACAGCTTCATTTGTGTCCATTCAACATAGTTATGAGTTTTGGAACTCTGTGGATATTTTCTCTGAATATTTTTGATTTATACTTTGTTCAATAAAGACCTGTAAACCCCACAGATACGGAGGAGTGACCGTATATTTATAGTATGAAAGATGATGTGTTGATATGTGTCCCCATGGAGATGAGACTAACAAGGCCTATGACTCTACAAATGTTTCATCGTGGAATGACTCTGCCAGCTTTCCAGGTCTGCAGAGAGTAACAATGTCACTTGTTCATGTGATTCCCGATCCTTGGAACCTCCTATGTGCTGCATCTTTGGATGGAAATTGGAGTCCCAGAGACAAATGAGGCTCCACACTGCTTCCAGAAGCTCAGAGTCCAGAGGTGAGAACCCGGTGGAGAACAGATGGGATTATATGGACATGGTACTGATAACACCGGAAGCCTTAGGCAAGAAAAGAGTCCCATTACCTAAACCATGAGGGCAGACATGTTTATTTGAAGGAGGGAAAACTACATTGAAATTATTTTAAAAAATATATAAGTTTTACTGCTGACAGAAGGCTGAAAGCTAGTCTGAGGGGAGGTGGAACAGCATGAGGGAAGGTGGAACAGCACGTGTCTAAGTGCCGTGTTAAGAGGGAGCCTCTTGTATGTTTGGAATTGTGAGTTCCTCAGTGTGATTGCAGCCTCAAGTAGACTAGGAAGTAAGCCAGTTAGGTTGGAGAGGTGGGCAGGGGTCAAGTGAAATGGAGAATTGTGGGCTAAGCAAAGGAGTGTGTTTTCTCTCCAGCAGGCAGTGGGGACCTTAGACATTTGTAAGCAAGGGAGAGGCACGTTCAGATTTGTGGTGTGAGGAAGAGCGATGCCCTAAGATGCAGACTCACGCCTTCAGATTCCAGCTGCTGGTACATTGGAGCTGGCAACCCAGTTTTGAGACAGGGCTGTTGTCTCCCTAGAAGATCCCCTCAAGGCCTGACTGTGGTGCTCATGGGCAGGAGACAACTTTGGATCAGGGCTCAGCATTTGGAAGTTCCGTGTACACGATGATATCTGTTGGGGGTGTCTTGGGCCTCTGAGAAGGGCGAGTGATTTTTCTCTGTGTGAAAACGCAGTGATTCAACTGTGCATATGTCACCTCCTGAGGGTCTTGTTCATCAGAGTCCTGGAGAGAGGGAAATGCTGAGTGAGGGAGGGTGCTCACATTTTCCAGGACTCTTTGGGAATAACACTAGCCACGAGGCTGGGCCGAGGAGCACCTACCTCCCTGTTCACTGTTCTGTTCCCTGCAGGCTCTTGGTCCATTACAACAGCATCTGTAGAAGACGGAAGTCAACAAAACAGCTCAGAGGGCACTTCTGGGCCCTCATTTCATAAGCAGATACCAACATACAGGGGGAGACCATAGGTGGCTGAGGTCCCTCAGTTGCCAACAGCAGACTCAGACATTCTATCTCTCTGAGCTCAAGGACCCATCCCATGAATAGCTCTGAGTTCCCATCCCATTGATTCTGTCTCCCACTTTCTGCCTGTCATGGAACCTTCTCCTGGATGTGAGTGGCTGCAGGGGACATGAGGATACAGTTCAGAATCAGGCAATGGTCTGTGAGCTGAAGGCAGGGACAGGGAGTCTGGTGCTCTCTCTAGAAAGTCCTCCCTCTGTGGCTGCTGCCTTGGGCCAGGGACCATCCTGTCTGTGAGGAACACACACCTGAGTGCTCCCATCCTGCTTCCCCACATGGCCCTGAGCTCTCTGGCCTCTGCTTCGTGAGACTTACTTTTTTTGTTGCAGCACCAGCGATGAAGGAGAAAGAAGAGGAGGAGGATGAAGAGGATGATGACCACTGAGGTCCCAATCAGAACATGCAGGTGTCTGGGGTTACCTGGAAGAAGAGGAGACACCAATAAGAAGCTAATCATAGCAGTTCCTCTTTATGAATTGTCTCACATTTCTTGATTGACAGGTAACCACATACAACACCCCTTTAGGACAAGCACCCAGATGGAGGGAGACCCAGCTTTCTCCTGCTTTCTCAGTTATAGCTCTCATAGTAACCATAGAACGTGTTGAGGATACAACTACTTTAGTTGAGATGTTTGACCCCTTCAAACCTCACATTGAAATTTCACCCCCACTGTGGGAGGTTGGGCCTCTTGAGAGGTGTTTGGGTCATGGAGGTGGATCCATCATGAACAGACCAATGCTGTCCCAAGGAGACGGGGTTAGCAAGTTCCCCTTCTATTAGTTCCTGGAGAGCTGGTTGTTCAAAAGAGCTTGGAAGCTCCATCGCTCCCCCTCCCCCTTGCTCCCTCTCTTGCCGTGTGATCTCTGTGGTCTCTGCACAGACAGACCCTCCTTCCCTTCTGCCAGAGTGGGAGCAGCCTGAGGCCGTCACGAGAAATAGATGCTGGTGCCACGCTTCCAGTACAGCCTGCAGAACTGTGAGGCAAACCAATCTCTTTTCTCTAGAAGTTACCCAGGCTCAAGTGTTCCTTTAGAGCAACAAAAATGGACTAAGACAGCAACGTCCTGAGATCAGGAGGAACGTCTCAGAACAGCCTGGGCTGTCTTCCTGTTCTTCCTGGAGGAGGACGTCATGCAGTGCTTTAGCTGAGTGCTTCCTGTGGCTCCACAGTACAAAACCCAGGCTGGGCTGCTCTCTGGCTTCCCCCAGCTACACTGCAAATGGGGTGACTCCATATGTCCCGAGTAGCTTTTCTGAGCCTTGAGGGACTGGCTCACATTGAAATGTAGGTTTCTGTTGTCACTCGCTGCTTATCTGTTAGTAATGAACCTGCCTGTGTAATGTATTCTCTGTGTGTTCTGTCTCCCTGGAGTGACGGTGAGTGATAGGAATTGGCATAAGCCCAGGTGCAGTCCAGGAGGTATTTAGAGTCTTCTCTGGGAAGACTGCACTGGGATTGATACACAGCGAATGTGCTTTAGGATTTCTACATCCACAGCATTCTTGAATCAAACAACTTGCATTCTCCAAGAAAAGGAAACAAAAGTGAAATCAAGATAAAAAAAGCTAAGTAGAATTCTCTTATGTCAAATGGCCAGGAAATAGTGTTGAAGCCCGTGTGAAACGTGCTACTCTTTGTGATCTCGGGAGACACATGTTAGGCTGCTGTTCTACCCGAGAGGCTGGGGGAAGGACCACCCCCTCGGCCATCTATTGCTTCAATACCACCTGTCCTCCTGTGAATTAGTAGGAAAGGGGAGCAGGAGCTAGTGCTGGCACTGATCTCTGATTCCAAGATCTGGACTCACTCCAAGGAGTATCAATGTTTACCTCCCCATAGCCTATCTGAATCTCCACAGGTGATTGGAAGTAGGGGTGAGGTGGGGGATTTGGGTGAGTGGGCAAGTTTTTTGTTGCGATGAACAGAGCACTTTCTCTATTCCACGATCTGTGCTGGAGGATTCTGAGGGCTTTCACATTTTCTATGTGATCTCATTCTCACAGAAAGCCAAATAGGGAAGAGGTTTTAAGCTCATTGCCTAATGGATAAGATAAAGGATCAAAGAAGTAATTATAGAGAAATAGAAAAACGATGATTGGAATTCAGGTGCCTTTGTCATTCGTGTGTGTTTTATTATATTTATGTATTTCTTATTTTTATTTTTTGAGATAGAGTCTCCTTGTGTCCCCCAGGCTGGAGTGCAGTGATGCAATCTCCACTCACTGCAACCTCCACCTACTGGGTTGAAGTCATTCTCCTGCTTCATCCTCCAGAATAGGAGCTGGGATTACAGGGATGCACCATCGTGCTCGGCTAATTTTTGTATTTTTAGTAGAGATAGGGTTTCACCACGTTGGCCAGGCTGGTCTGGAACTCCTGACTTCATGGAATCCACCCACCTTGGCCTCCTGCAGTGCTAGGTTACAGGCGTGAGCCACTGTTCACAGACTTGTATATTATGCTATAATAAGTCTCTTCATTTCCACCACCACTCATATATCTGTCACTCCTTTGCCAGGTATTGATTTATGTGTAGGATGAATAAATCTCAGAAAGAAATTAATTAAGCGAGGATTAAACAAGTAGGAAAATCAAACCCAGTAAGCGTTTCCAGTCAATGATTCTACCTCACAAACATATCTTATATCCATCTACTTCATTCATTTAGTGTCTAAATCAGCACCACATTTCACCAGTGGGGTGGCAATTGCCTTTTCCACGGTCTCCTAGATTCCAGTTATGCAACTGAGCCTCCCTTATTTTCATGTCAGTCATATTAATCATGTAGGGATTCCTGGTTACCCCGAGGTGAATCCAATGGCTGTGAGTGTCAAACACACACTCCTTGTTGCTCCTTAGTTTCCTGTGTACCCAGTGTGCTCTCCGTCTCTCTACAGTCGTCTTGTCATTCTCCCCACATCATTCCCAGCATTTGAGGCAGAGCCTCTTCCTTCCACATCAGATTGTTTTCACCTTTGTGCCTTCACGGCTGACAGCTGTGTGTGCAAAATCCTTCCGCCAATCTTTCAGGGGTTCAATCCGTGTTTTTCATTAATGTCACAAATATCTGAATAGTGAGACCTTCTTTGTCACCTGAAATCATACACTCAGCATTATCTATTATTGATTTTGAATTCTGGCTGGGCACAGTGGCTCACGCCTGTAGTCCCATTACTTTGGCATGCTGAGACGGTCGGATCACTTGAGGTTGGGAGTTTCAGACAAGCTTGGCCAACGTGGTGAAACATCCTCTCTACAAAAAATATACAAAAAGAATTAGCCGGGCACGGTGGCAGTTGCCTGTAATCCCAGCTACTCGAGAGGCGGAGGCAGGAGAATCACTTGAATCCAGGAGACGCAGGTTGCAGTGAGCCAAGATCGTGACACTGCACTGTAGCCTGGAAGACAGAGGGCGACTCTGTCTCAATAAACAAAAGAACAAACAAAAAATAGATTTCATGCACAGATGCTTCCCAATGGATCATTCATTTATAGATCCACTTGTGCATTCATTTTCTGCCCTCCCATTTAACCATCTGCAATATCAGTGTCCCAAGGGCAGAAGCCAAATGCATCTTGTTCACCGTTTGTGGAAGGCAGGAGAATGCTGTCCCACCCCAAAATGTCCCTGTCCTAGCCTCCATAGCTTGTGAATATGTTATTTTACATGGAAAGGAGGAATGAAGATTGTAGATGGAATTGCGGTTGCTAATCAGCTGAACTTAAAACAAGGGTATCCTGGATGATTTCCAGGAGATTATGAGGGATTTTCATCTTGGTGAACCCAATAGAATCCCCAAGTTTTCAAAAGATAAGGAAGAAGGGAGAGCAGCATTCAGAGAAAGAGGTGTGGTAAGGAAGAAGGCACTGAGTGATGCCATGTGAGATGTGACCAGTCTTTGTGGGCTTTGAGGAAGGAGGAAGGGGAACAGGAGCCAAGGAACTGGGAGCCTTTAGAAGCTGGGATAAGTGAGAAGCAGATTCTTGCCTGGAATCCTCAGAGGGAAGGCAGCCTTGCTGTCACCTTGATTTTAGCCCAGTAAGATGCACTTCCTACTTTGAGCTACAGCACTGTAAGATAATTAAAAAACCGTTTTGTTTTCACCCACGAATCTTGTGGAAATTTGTTATGGCAACAATAGGAAAAGGTTCCGCACTGCACAGCCTGAGCATGGGGCCGTGGCTGAATGAGTCAGTGAGTCGAAGTGTGCGTGCATGAGCTCCGTTCTCTGTTACGGCAAGGCTGTTGCTCTGCTGAGTCAGCCAGGGTTGCTTCATGACCAACAGTAATTCATTCCTTGGCAAGTGGAACTTCTCTAAAACACCTCGCCCTCATCAGATGTTCCCTTCCCTTCCCTCTCTCAAGCCCCCAGGAATTTATCCTCCAGTTAGGAATGCAGGCAGAACAAACATTGCATTTTTCCTGAGAAGGATGTCAGATTGGCAATCATTCTTCTAGCTTGTAGGAGGTCTCAGCTCCATAAAATGAGAGATTAAGAGATTTCACTGAGCCCTAGGTTGGGCCCAGATCCCTTTCGCTGTTGGAGTATCTGGAGTTCGGAGATGGTAGAAGACAGGCGTACAATGTCAGAGCTGCGAGATGCTGAGTCAATGCCTGCATCGAAGGTTTCTACCTCCCCAGGTTTCCAAAAGCGGATATAAGAGGGTTCTGTACTCACCGGTTTCGGAGCTTGGTTCAGTGGGTGAAGGCCAACTATTTGAAGGGTTTCCTAGAACACGAGACAGGAGAGAGGTGAGGAAATGAGGGTGTCTGTCCTCTACTCAATGGAAATCTTTGAGGTTGGTTCATGGCCAACACTCTGTTATCTAATATTGGGCCCTGGGAGTCCTGGGATCCTTTTTTCCGTAATTTTTGTATGTGACGCCCACTGTCTTGAGACTTCAAGGTATAAAGAGAAAACAGGAGCATCACACTACCTGATCTCAAAATATGTTACAGAGCTGTAGTAAGCAAAACAGCATCACATTGGCATAAAGAAAGGCACGTAGAACAATGGAGCAGAATGAAGAACACAGATATAATCCATGCATTTACCTCCAATGTTTTTTTCTTTTTTCTTTTGAGATGGAGTCTCGCTCTGTCACCCAGGCTGGAGTGCAGAGGTGCAATCTCGGTTCACTGCCACCACAGCCTCCTGGGTTCAATCAATTCTCTGGCCTCAAACTCCTGAGTAGTGGTATTACAGGTGCTGACCACCATGCTCAGCTAATTTTTATATTTTTAGTGGAGACAATGTTTCATCACGTCGGCCAGACTAATCTTGAACTCCTGGCCTCAGGTGATCCACCCGCCTTGGGCTCCCAAAGTGCTGAAATTGCAGGTGTCAGCCACCATGCCCAGCCCATCCAATGGACTTTGACAAAGGTGCCAAGAACTCACAATCAGGAAAGGACAGTCTTTTCAATAAACAGTGCAGGGAAACCTGGACATCTACATGCAGAGGAATGAAACTGCACCTCTACCTGTCACTATACACAAAACTCAAATGAAAATGGATTAAAGATGTGAGTCTAAGGCCTGAACCTATGAAACACGTAGAAGAAAATATTGGGGAAATGCTCCAGGACATTTGTCTGAAGGAAGACATTTTGTTTTAAACCTTCAAAACACAAGTAATCGAAGCAAAAATAGACCATTGGGATTACCTCAAACTAAGCAACTTCTGCACCGCTAAAAATAAACCAACAAAGTGAAGAGACAACCCACAGATTGGGAGCAAATATGTGCAAACTATGCATCTGAGATGGGATTAATAACTAGAAATATAAGAAGCTCAAACAACTCAATAAAACAAACGATTTAATTGAAAAAGGAGCAAAACACATGAAATTTCCCCACATACTAAAAAGTGCTCAGTTTCACTCATCATCAGAGAAACACAAATTAAAATCAAAGTGAGTTTTCATCTCACCCCATTAAAATGGATTTTAGGCCGGGCGTGGTGGCTCACGTCTGTCATCCTAGACCTTTGAGAGCCTGAGGTGGGTGAACCTCATAAGGTCGGGAGTTTGAGACCAGTCTGACCCACATGAAGAAACACTGTCTCTACTAAAAATACAAAATTTAGTTGGGCGTGGTGGCGTGTGCCTGTAATTCCAGCTACTCGGGAGGCTGAGGCAGGAGAATCGCTTGAACCTGGGAGGTGGAGGTTGTGGTGAGCCGAGATCGCACCACTGCACTCCAGCCTGGGTGACAAGAGCGAAACTCCATCTCAAAATAAAATGAAATAAAATAAAATGGCTTTTAGCTGCAAGACAGGCAAAGGAAATCCTGCCAAAGTGGTAGAGAAAGGAGAACCCTAATACCCTGTTGGTAGGAGTGTAAATTAGTACAGCCTTTACGGAGAAAAGTGTGGAAGTCCTTTAAAGAACTAAAAAGAGGTTGGGTGAGGTGGATCATGCCTGTAATCCCGGCACTTTGGGAGACCGAGGCGGGCACCTCAGTTGAGGTCATGAGTTTGAGAGCAGCCCAGCCAACATGGGGAAACCCCATCTATACTAAAAAAAACAAAAAGTAGCCAGGCATGGTGGCGTGCACCTGTAATCCCAGCTACTAGGGAGGCTGAGGCAGGAAAATCATTTGAACCCAGGAGGCGGAGGTTGCAATGAGCCAAGATGACTTCACTTGTACTCCAGCCTGGGCACAGAGGGAAACTGTCTCAAAAACAAAAACAAAACAACAAACGAATAACTAAAAAGAGAACTTTCATAGTATCCAGCAATTTCACTACTGGGTTTATATCCAAAGGAAAGTAAATCAATATATCGAAGTGATATCTGCACTCGTATGATTGGTGCAGCACTGTTCACAGTAGCCAAGATGTGGAGTCAACCTACCTGCCCATCAGTGGATGAATGGATAGAGAGAATGTAGTACATACGCACAGTGGAGACTACTCATCCATAGAAAGAATAACATCCTGATATTTGCAGCCACATGGATGGAACTGGAAGTCATTACAAAGATTCCCATTTCTCACCCATATACAGAGCTAAAAGGTGGATCTCATGAAGGTAGAGAGTAGAATGGTGGCTTCCAGAGGCCAGGAATAAAAGGGTGGAGGGTAAAAAAAAAAAAAAAAAAAAATATATATATATATATATATATATATATATATATATATGTTTATATATGTGTGTGTGTGTGTATATATATATATATATATATATATAAATGTATTTATGACCACTAGACTTTACACTTAAAAATGGTAAATGTGGCTGGGCGTGGTGGCTCATGCCTGTAATCCCAGCACTTTGGGAGGCAGATGCGGGTGGATCACGTGGTCAGGAGTTGGAGACCAGCTCGACCAACATGGTGAAACCCCCTCTCTACTAAAAATACAAAAAGTAGCCTGGCGTGGTGGTGCGCGCCTGTAGCACCAGCTACTCAGGTGGCTGAAGCAGGAGAATCACTTGAACCCAGGAGGCGGAAGTTGCAGTGAGCTGAGATTGTGCCACTGCACTCCAGCATAGGGGACAGAGCTAGACTCTGCCTCAAAAAAAAAAAAAATGTTAAAGGTGGTAAGCTATATAGGTATATTTATCCTCAATAAATATTTCTTCAAACAAAAGTAAAGGGTGTAGGGGTTGCTGGTGATGACATCCCTGTGTGGGTGAGAGGCCAGGATGGGCTTCTGGGAAATGGGTAATGTTGAGGGGCTGAGGGAACCTCTGATCTTCCCAAACTGAGCCCAGTCTCTCTCCTCTGGGTCTCTCCTGACCGTTTTCTCCATCTGCCTGTGTGCCTGGAGCCCTGGCCGCGGGCCTTCATGCAGGCCGTGTAGGAGGGTTTGGAGGTGCCCTGTCTGCCATCCTGTGCCCTGATCCCTCCCTCACACCCAAGCTTCGTCTTCTCTCTGCATCTGTCCATGCTTCTCTCCATCATCAGCAGGAAGCTCCTCAGCTAAGGCTCTAGGATCATAGGACATGAGACAGATATGGGGTTTCCTCACCTGTGACAGAAACAAGCAGTGGGTCACTCGAGTTTGACCACTCGTATGGAGAGTCACGGAAAGAGCCGAAGCATCTGTAGGTTCCTCCGTGGGTGGCAGGGCCCAGAGGAAAGTCGGCCTGGAATGTTCCGTTGACCTTGGGCCCTGCAGAGAACCTACGTTCATGGGCCTCCCCCTCCCTGGATAGATGGTACATGTCATAGGAGCTCCGGGAGCTGCAGGACAAGGTCACGCTCTCTCCTGCCAGAACCGTGGGGCCCGGCTGGGCTGAGAGAGAAGGTTTCTCATATAGACCTGGAGGAGAAGAGGCATTTTCCTTACGGAGGATCTTCCTTGTCACAGCTCCCTTCACCTGAGCTGAGAACTCACTCCCCTGCTCTATGACCTAATGCTCTCTCTCTCTCTCTCTCTCACCCTCCACCCCATCTCTCTTCATGTCTATTTCCTTCTTCCACCTTCTCTGTCTCTCTAGGTCTCTGACCTCGCTTCCCCACCTCTAGATATGTTTTCCCTTTTTGGATTCTTTTATTCTCTCTGACTCTCCTTGGATTGGTTGACTTGATGTTACTTTTTTAAATTCTAAGTTTCTCACGTTGTGTCCTGTTCATAACTTTCTGCATATTTCTATCTATTATCTGTCGATCTATCTATTTATCTATTCGGTGCCTATCTACAAATTCTCTACCTGTCATCTATATCTATATATCATCTATGTATCTATCACTTGTCTATCTATCCATCAATCATCTGTTATTTATATGTATGTATCATCTCTCTCTCTATGATTTCTGTCTGCCTCTCTATCTGTACGTATTATCTGTCTTCATCATCATCATCTCTATGTATTATCTATTAATGAATCAATCAATCATCATCTATGTATCTTTAACCTATTATCTATCATCTACCTATTTATCATCTATCTATATCTATCCATCTATCATCTGTCTTGCTCTGCCTCTCGGTCTCTCTAGTTCTCTTTGGAATCTCTGCAATTCATCCCCACATCTCCATGTTTCTATGTCCTTGTGCCTCTCTCTCAGGACTCTAATTTTAGTGCTTTTCTCTGCTCCCTGCCATCATTCTCACCACTCCTCTGCCCTCTTTTCTCTCTCTTTATGTGTCTGTGAGTCTCTCAATCTCCTTCCTCTGGCTCATTCTCTGTGTGTTTATGTCTTTGCTTTTTGGTGTTCCTGATTTTTCTCTGTGCCTCTCAGTGATCCTTTCATATGTGGGGTTATTTGGAATGTGAGCCACAGAATCCAGTCTGGAGACCACAAGTTCACACAGCATACAGGGGTTGGTGTTCTGGGGCCATGATATCCTGGGACGATTACTCTCCATTACATGGAAGGCAGAGGTGTCAGAATAAACATGGCCTGTAGGTGCCACAAGGCCTGAGGCCACAGGGCCCAACTCAGGTCATAAATATGGGTGTCCTTGGGTTCTCCTGGTAGAGAACACTTTGTGGAGGTAAAACAGAAATGAAACTTCTAACCTGTGCCAGGTCTGTGAGCAAAGTCAGCATGGAGGGACACCTCTCTCTGGGACATGTCTGTCTGTCTGTCTCTTTTAACTCTTTCTGTCTTTTCTAACTCCCTGTATGGCCCCTGTGTCTGTCCTCTGTTATGACACCTGGTCTGTACTTGTGTCTCCTGTTTCTCTGTCTCTGTTGGTACAAACCTCAGCAAGTCAGTCTCTCTCCATAAGAATACCAAGCTCATCTTCCTTACAACTACCTGGGGGTTCCAAGTCGTGGATCATTCACTCTGCATCCCAATGACAATGAGAATGTCCGGACACTCTCACCTGTGATGACGATGTCCAGAGGGTCACTGGGAGCTGACAACTGATAGGGGGAGTGAGTAACAGAACCGTAGCATCTGTAGGTCCCTGCAAGGTCTTGCATCATGGGACCGATGGAGAAGTTGGCCTTGGAGACCCCATCATGGTGCTCTCCAATGAGGTGCAAAGTGTCCTTAAACTTCCCTTCTCTGTGCAGAAGGAAGTGCTGAAACCTGACATCTGACCAACATTGCAGGATGACTGTCTCTTCTGATTTCACCAGGGGACCTGGGTGGGCCAGGAGGGAAGGTTTTCTGTGGACTCCTAGGAAGAGAGGTTGTGAGTTTAGAAGGTGTCTCTCTTTATCATCCCATCCATGGCACCTAGAATGAGTGAGGCTTCCCCTTGCTGGTGTCTGTCTCTCTCCTTCCTCTCTGTGTCTTCATGTTCTTTTCTGTGCCCTTAACTCCTGGTGCAGGTCCTTCCATCTGTCTCCCTCCCTCTTCTCTGTCCCTCTGTCTCTAGTAGCCTCTGATTCCCTTCCCACTGGGCTGAGCCTCATCTCTTGGGGTGTTGTATCTATTTCACACTAATGTATTTCCTGCTGTTTATGTGGGGGTGAAAGAGGAACCAGGATAGGCTGCACATCCAGGCTCTTATCAGCCTGGTTCAATCTCTTTTGGATGAATTGCAATCCTTGGCAGAAGGTATGAACTGATGAATAAGGCAGGCACCAGTGTCCACACACCCTGTTCCTGGTGGGGACTGGGAGCCACTCTTGCCATGCCTGTGCCTTCTCCATGGTGCCAGCTTCCATAGGCTGGCTCCTGGTGCTGGTTGGAGGAGTATCAACCCCTCCCTATGTGGATGGAGCCTGGTGGTGGCATCATCATCCCACCCTTGCTGATCTCAGGGTAGCCAACCTTCTCCTTGTTTGGTTTCTTTAATTAATTAATTAATTATGGAGACAGAGTCTCACTCCTTCACCCAGGCTGGAGTGAAGTGGTGTGGTCTAGGCTCACTGCAACCTCTGTCTCCTGGGTTCAAGTGATTCTCCTGCCCTCAGCCTCCTGAGTCGCTAGGATTACATGCACCTGCCACCATGCCTGGCTTTCCTTGGGTTGTTTCTTAACTTGTCCTTGACCTGGGTTCCAGTGTTGGTTTCCTGTTGCTGCTGTAGAAAATTATCAGAAGCATGGCAGCAGGAGAGACCACACTGACACCTTCCAGTACTGGAGACAGAAATTGGACCCTATTTTTCCTGGGCTAAAATCAAGGCATCTGCAGGGCTTTGTTCCCTCTGGAGACTCTGGAGAATCAGTTCCTTGACTTTTCCAGCCTCTATAGGCCACCTGCATTCATGGATCTTGGCCTTCCTCCACCTTCAAAGCTGGTGAAGACTTCCACTGGACTGCTCTAATCCCCACTCCCCTCTTCCTCCTCCTTTCATGTGCACCCTTGTGATTACACTGAGCCCAGTGGGACAGTCCAGGCTGTCTCCCCATGAGCTCCATCTTCCCCTTCAGTCCCTTCCCCTATAACATAAATAGTCACAGACTCCAGGGATTAGAATGTAGTCATCACTGGGGACAATTATTCTTCCCACCACAGCACCCATTTCCCTGTATTCAATCCCCCTTTACCACAAATACAGTCAGGGCCTGCGTGATGGGACCCTCAAGGACATGCCCAACAGAAGCTCTGGGATTCAGGAGGTGGGACAAGGAGAATCCAAGACAGGAGCCCTCTGACCTATGACCACGATCACCAGGGGGTTGCTGGGTGCTGACCACCCACTGGGGGAGTGTGTGTGTGAACCCCGACATCTGTATGTCCCTGTGTGTGCGGGGGTCACAGGGCCCATGAAAAGGCTGTTCCAGAATATTCTGTTGTAGAGCTCAGGGACAGGCACCCCACCTTCCTTTTACAGACTGAAGTTGTTAAACCCAAGATAAGAGTGACACCGAAGAATGACATGTCCTAGAGGCACCACAAGGCTGGGCCAGGCAGACAGCAAGGGCTTGTCCTGACCACCTTGGGGAGAAGGAGGCGCCGCCTTAGAGAGGAGGATGTGGAACTGCCCTTCCCTCCCTGTGCTCAGAAGATTCTCCTCGCTTTCCACGTTTCTATGGCTACTATCACACCTTGGTGCCCAGGGCTGAAGGAAGGACCCATCCCGCAAAGACATGGTGTCTCCCTACAACAAAAGCCTCAGCTGAGAACTTTGAGCAAGTGCTGAGTAAAGAGACTCCTACTAGATTTTAATACTGTAAGATTACTCACATAAAACAACACAGGGTAGACATGAGGTGGAGGGCATGTCCTTTGTGAATGGATATCAGCGGATGCCTGAACGAAAATAAACAACTGAGCCCCCATCAGAGGATTTGGAATGTCAGGGCCATGGCTGTGGTTTCCCACCTCTTCTGGTAGAATGACAGCAGCCACACTGCAGCCCCTACCATCATGGAAACGCTGAAGTGTGTGAGTAACACCTTTGTCCTCAGAGGATCTGCTGTTCCTACCACTTCCCAACCACACACCCCAGCTTTGAGCACCCCAGTCTAACCCTGGTCCCCACAGAACTTGACTCTGCCAAGGGGTTGAGAGGCCAGGGAGGCGAGGTCAGAAATGTGGGCTGAGCACCCCAGGGTCCTCTCTTCCTAGTTTATGAGAGACTCCCCGACAGGACTTCCCTCCTGTTTCAGGAAAATCCTCTTATGTGGGGAGATGACACCCGAAGGTTTGGAGAAGGACTCACCCTCATGTGGCCAGGCCCCCTGCAGCAAGAAGAACCCTGGAAAGAAAGATCATGATGGACCATCCATCTGCAGGCAAACCAGGCCTCCCTTGCTGCCCCCACTGGGCTGTGAGTCTTGGCAGCCAGGCCCTTCCTGGGCTGAAGTTAAACTCACCCTCAGTGCCTACCTGCACCCAAGAACAGGGCTGTCGGCTGTGCAGAGACCCAGTTTCCAGGCCCATATCCCCACCCCAAGCCCATATCTCCACTCCAGGCTGATATTTCCACCCTAGGCCCATATCGCCAATCCAGGCTCAGATCTCCACCCTAGGCCCCTATCTCCAATCCAGTCCCATATCTCCGCCCCAGGCCCAGATCTCCACCCTAAGCCCATATCTCCACTCCAGGCCCATATCACCTCTCCAGTCCCATATCTCCACACCCAGGCCCATATCTCCTTCCTAGGCCCATATCTCCACTCCAGGCCCAGATATCCATCTCTAGGCCCATAACTCCACTCCTGGCCCATATCTCCACTCCAGGCCCATATCTCTACTGCAGGCCCGTATCTCCACCTCCAGACCCATATCTCCACTCCAGGCCCATATCTCCACCTCCAGGCCCATATCTCCACCTCCAGGCCCATATCTCCACTCCAGGCCCATATCTCCACTCCAGGCCCCTATCTCTACTGCAGGCCCATATCTCCATCTCCAGGCCCATATCTCCATCTCCAGGCCCATGTCTCCACTACAAGCCCATATCTCTACTGCAGGCCCATATCTCAACCTCCAGGCCCATATCTCCACTCCAGGCCCAGATCTCCACTCCAGGCCCAGATCTCCACTTCTAGGCCCATCACTCCATCTCTAGGCCCATAACTCCACTTCCAGGCCTATATCTCCAACTCTGGGCCCCGATCTCCATCCCCGCACTCCCTCCCTCGATGCCCTTCCAGGACTCACCAACACACACCATGCTGACGACCATGAGCGACATGGTGCTGTCTGTGCAGACAGGCGGCCGCGCCCCAGCTCAGCTCAGCAGCGCACAGGATGTTATTTGGCGCCCTGCCCATGCAGTTTACATGTTGACCACATCATGGGAGGGTGACGTACGCAGGCTCTTTCTACCTTGCATGAGGCCCAGTGGGTGCTCGCTCAAGAGCGGAACATGGCTTCCTGGAAATTGTTCTCACTAGAATTGACACCTTGCGTCCTTCACTACGACCAGACTCAAAAGACGTCTCAGATCCAACCTCTCATACACGAGATGATTGAATTCTGTGCTTACATTAAAGATTTTTGATGTATTTTTGTTTTTATCTGAGATTCAAACTCTTCTTCATATGTAATGTGCAAAATGTCTAACAGGTATTATTAACATTATCAGAGTAATTGTGACAAGAAGCCATTCTAATTTTCCTGCTTGAGTTTCTACTACTAAACCAGAGGCATCAGAATAGCTTGAACCTGGGAGACGGAGGTTGCAGTGAGCTGAGCTCAAGCCACTGAACTCCAGCTTGGGTGACAGAGGAAGAGTCTGTCTCAAGAAAAAAAAAAAAAGCAAACTAAATAACCTATAATAACAAATCAGAGGACTCAGGTTACCAAATTTTAAGGGGTTCTATAAGTTTATATAAAATGCAGCATCCTCATGAGAGGGGATACAGAGAACCACTGGACAGAAAACTGTGTCTAAAATACATCTGTGGATACACAGTCCCTTTATAGTTGACAAAGGCTGCCATGTAGTTTAAGGTGGAATAGAATATTTTCTCAACAAATAACACAGGACCATAGGGTTACACGTAGGAAAAAATAAATCTAAACTTATCCTCACACTATAAAAACACTTCTTATTTTTTATCTTGTTGTTGTAAATTTTTTATGCTTTATTTTTAAGATTGACAAATAAAAATTATATACCATGGTCCTTCACTATACCTGGGTGATTGGTTCCAGGATCCCCATTCAGATACCAAAATCTGCAGATGCTCAAGCCCCTTGCATGAAATGGCATAGTGAAGCTGGGCACCGTGGCTCACGCCTGTAATCCCAGCACTTTGGGAGGCTGAGCTGGGTAGATCACAAGGTCAGGAGTTCAAGACCAGCTGGTCCAACATTCTGAAACCCCATCTCTACTAAAAATATACACACAAAAAAATTTATCTGTGCAGGGTGGCACGTGCCTGTAATCCTAGGGGAGGCTACTGGGGAGGCTGAGGGAAGAGAATCGCTTGAACCTGGAAGGCGGAGGTTGCAGTGAGTTGAGATCACGCCACTGCACTCCAGCCTGGGTGAGAGAGTGAGACTGTCTCAAAAAAAAAAAAAATAGCATAGCAATTGCATAGAACCCATGCACATCCTCCTGTATACATGAAATCATCTCTTGATTACTTATAATTCCTGACACAGCCTACACGCCACTCAATTTGTGTCGATTCAACATAGTTTTTTGCTTTTTGAAACTTCGGGGATTTTTTTTCTCAAAATATTTTTGATTTATTGCTGATTCAATAAACATGTGTAAACCCCAGAGATATGGAGGAGTGACTGTCTATTTATAGTAGTATGAAAGATGATGTGTTGATACGTGTCCCTGTGGAGATGAGACTAACAAGGCCTATGACTCTACAAATGTTTCATCGTGGAATGACTCTGCCAGCTTTCCAGATCTGCAGAGAGTAAGAATATCACTTGTTCATCTGATTCACCATCCTTGGAACCTCCTATGTGCTGCATCTTTGGATGGAAATTGGAGTCTCAGAGACAATTCAGGCTCCACCCTGCTTCCAGAAGCTCAGAGTCCAGGGGTGAGAACCCAGCGGAGAACAGATGGGGTTATGTGGACGTGGTAATGATAACACCGGAAGCCTTAGGCAAGAAAAGAGTCCCATTGACGAAACCATGAGGGCAGACATGTTTACTTGAAGAAGAGAAAACTACATTGAAATTATAAAAAAAATTTATAAGTTTTACTGCTGACAGAAGGCTGAAAGATACTCTGAGGAAAGGTGGAATAGCACGTATCTAAGTGCCGTGTTAAGAGGGAGCCTCTTATATGTTTGGAATTGTGAGTTCCTCAGTGTGATCGCAGCCTCAAGTAGACTAGGAAGTAAGCCAGTTAGGTTGGAGAGGTGGGCAGGGGTCAAGTGAAATGGAGAATTGTGGGCTAAGCAAGTGTGTTTTCTCTCCAGCAGGCAGTGGGGACCTTAGACATTTGTAAGCAAGAGAGAGGCATGTTCAGATTCGTGGTGTGAGGAAGAGCGATGCCCTAAGATGCAGACTCACGCCTTCAGAGTCCAGCTGCTGGTACATGGGAGCTGGCAACCCGGTTTTGAGACAGGGCTATTGTCTCCCTAGAAGATCCCATCAAGGCCTGACTGTGGTGCTAGTGGACAGAAGACAACTTTGGATCTGCGCTCAGCATTTGGAAGTTCCGTGTTACACGCTGGTATCTGTTGGGGGTGTCTTGGGCCTCTGAGAAGGGCGAGTGATTTTTCTCTGTGTGAAAACGCAGTGATTCAACTGTGCGTATGTCACCTCCTGAGGGTCTTGTTCATCAGAGTCCTGGAGGGAGGGAAATGCTGAGTGAGGGAGGGTGCTCACATTTTCCAGGACTCTTTGGGAATAAGACTAGCCACGAGGCTGGGCGGAGGAGCACCTACCTCCCTGTTCACTGTTCTGTTCCCTGCAGGCTCTTGGTCCATTACAACAGCATCTGTAGAAGACGGAAGTCGTCAAAACAGCTCGGAGGGCACTTCTGGGTCCTCATTTCATAAGCAGATACCAACATACAGGGGGAGGCCATAGGTGCCTGAGGTCCCTCAGTTGCCAACAGCAGACTCAGACATTCTATCTCTCTGAGCTCAAGGATCCATCCCATGTATAGCTCTGAGTTCCCATCCTATTGATTCTGTGTCCCACTTTCTGCCTGTCATGGAACCTTCTCCTGGATGTGAGTGGCTGCAGGGGATGTGAGGATACGGTTCAGAATCAGGCAATGGTCTGTGAGCTGAAGGCAGAGGCAGGGAGTCTGGTGCTCTCTCTAGAAAGTCCTGCCTCTGTGGCTCCTGCCTTGGGCCAGGGACCATCCTGCCTGTGAGGAACACACACCTGAGTGCTCCCATCCTGCTTCCCCACATGGCCCTGAGCTCTCTGGCTTCTGCTTCGTGAGACTTACTCTTTTTGTTGGCACACCAGCGATGAAGGAGAAAGAAGAGGAGGATAGCAAAGGGGATGATGACCACTGAGGTCCCAATCAGAACGTGCAGGTGTCTGGAGTTACCTGGAGGAAGACAAGACACCAATAAGAAGCTAATCATAGCAGTTCCTCTATATGAATTGTCTCACATTTCTTGATTGACAGGTAACCACATACAACGTCTCTTTAGGACAAGCACCCAGATGGCGGGAGACCTAGCTTCCTCCTGCTTTCTCAGTTGTAGTAACCATAGAACGTGCTGAGGATACAACTGCTTTAGTTTAGATGTTTGACCCCTTCAAACCTCACATTGAAATGTAACCCCCAGGGTGGGAGGTTGGGCCTCTTGGGAGTTGTTTGGGTCATGGAGGTGGATCCATCATGAACAGATCAATGCTGTTCCAAGGAGACGGGGTTAGCAAGTTCCCCCTCTATTAGTTCCTGGAGAACTGGTTGTTAAAAGAGCTTGGAAGCTCCATCGCTCCCCCTCCCCCTTGGTCCCTCTCTTGCCGTGTGATCTCTGTGGTCTCTGCACAGACAGACCCTCCTTCCCTTCTGCCAGAGTGGGAGCAGCCTGAGGCCGTCACAAGAAATAGATGCTGGTGCCATGCTTCCAGTACAGCCTGCAGAACTGTGAGGCAAACACATTTCTTTTCTTTAGAAGTTACCCAGGCTCAAGTGTTCCTTTAGAGCAACAAAAATGGACTAAGACAGCAACGTCCTGAGATCAGGAGGAACATCCCAGAACAGCCTGGGCTGTCTTCCTGTTCTTCCTGGAGGAGGACGTCATGCAGTGCTTTAGCTGAGTGCTTCCTGTGGCTCCAGGGTACAAAACCCAGGCTGGGCTGCTTTTTGATTTCCCCCAGATACACTGCATATGGGGTGACTCCACATGTCTCGAGCAGCTTTTCTGAGCCTTGAGGGACTGGCTCACATTGAAATGTAGGTTTCTGTTGTCACTCGCTGCTTATCTGTTAGTAATGAACCTGCCTGTGTAATGTGTTCTCTGTGTGTTCTGTCTCCCTGGAGTGACGGTGAGTGATAGGAATTGGTATAGGCCCAGGTGCATTCCAGGAGGTGTTTAGAATCTTCTCTGGGAAGACTGGATTGGGATTGATACACAGCGAATGTGCTTTACAGTTTCTACCACCACAACCCTCTTGACTCAAAAAAAATTACATTCTCCAAGAAAAGAAAGAAAAAATGAAATCAAGATAAAAAAAGTGAAGTAGAACTGACTTAAATCAAACAGCCATGAAATAATGATGTAGCCCAGGAACAACATGCTACTTTTTGTGATCTGCTGAGACATATATTAGGCTGCTATTCCACCCGAGAAGCACGGGGAAGGACCGCCCTCTCCGTCGTTTATTGTTTCAATACAGCCTGTCCTTCTGTGAGTTAGTACGAAATGTGACCAGGGGCTAGTGCTGGCACTGGTCTCTGAGTCCAAGATCTGAGCTCACTCCAAAGAGTATTAGTGTTTACCTCCCCATGATCTATCTGTATCTCCATAGGTGATTGGAAGTAGAGATGAATTGGGGGATTTGGGTGAAGGGGCAAGTTTTATGCCATGAACAGAGCACGTTCTCTATTCCAGGACCTGTGCTGGTGGGTTCAGGAGGCTTTCACATTTTCCATATGATCCCAAGCTCACAGAAAGCCAAATAAGGAAGAGGTTTAACCTGATTGTTTAATGGATAAGATAAAGGGTCAAAGAATTAAACACAGAGAAATAGAAAAATGATGGTTGGTATCCAGTTGCCTTTGTAATTTCTGTGTGTCATAATTATGTATGTTTTATTTTTATTTTTTGAGACAGAGTCCCCCTGTGTCAGGCTGGAGTGCAGTGATGCGATCTCAGTTCAACCTCTGCCTCCAGGGTTGAAGCCATTCTTCTGCTTCAGCCTCCCCAGTCGCTGGGATTACAGGCAGGTGCCAATGCACCAGGCTAATTTTTGTATTTTTAGTACAGACGGGGTTTCACCATGTTGGCCAGGCTGGTCTCAAACTCCTACCCTTAAGTGATCTACCCGCCTTGGCCTCCCAAAGTGTTGGGTTACAGGTGTGAGCCCCCATCCACAGTCTTGTATATTATATTATACTAGGTCCCTTCATTTGCACCACCCCTCATGTGTCTATCGCTCCTCTGCCAGGTATTGATTTAGATGTAGAAAAAAAACACATCTCAGAAAGAAATTAATGAAACAAGGATTAAACTACTAGGAAAAATCAAACCCAGCAAGCCCTCCCTGCAAATGATTCTACCTCACAAGCATAGCTTATATCCATCTTTCATTCATTTAGTGTGTAAATCAACCCTACGTTTCACCAGTGGGGCGGGAATTGCCTTTTCCACGGTCTCCTAGATTCCAGTTACGCACCTGGGCCTCCCTTATTTTCATGTCGGTCACTGTTAATCAGGTAGGGATTCCTAGTTAGCTCTGAGTTGAATCCAAGGGCTGTGAGTATCAAAAACATGCTCCTTGTTCCTCCTTAGTTTCCTGTGTACCCAGTGTGCTCTCCATCTCTCTACAGTTGTCTTGTCATTCTCCCCATCTCATTCCCAGCATTTGAGGCAGAGCCTCTTCCTTGAACTAAGAATGTTTCCACCTTTGTGCCTTCACGGCTGAGAGCTCAGTGTGGAAAATCCTTCCGCCAATCTTCCAAGGGTTGAATCCATTTTTTCCATTAAGGTCACAAATATTATCTGATCAGTGAGACCTTCTCTGTCACCTGAAATTATATACTCAGCATTATCTATTACTTATTTTAAATCCTGGCTGGGCGCAGTAGCTCTCGCCTGTAATCTTTGCACTTAGGGACGCTAAGGCGGTGGGATCACTTGAGATTGGGAGTTTGAGACAGCCTGCACAACATGGTGAAACCTCATTTCTACTAAAAAATATACCAAAAAAATTAGCCGAGTGTGGTGGCGCACAGCTGTAATCCCAGCTACTCGGTAGGCTGAGGCAGGAGAATTGCATGAACCCAGGAGGCAGAGGTTGCAATGAGCTGAGATTGTGCTACTGCACTCCAGCCTGTGGAACAGAGAGAGACTCTACTCAAAAAAAAAAAAGAAAACAAAAAACACACACACACACAAAAAACCCCAGATTTGGTGCACAGATGCTTCCCAATGGATCATTCATTTATTGGTACCCTTGTGCATTCATTCTCTGCCCTCGCATTTACCCATCTGCAATATCAGCGTCCCAAGAGCAGAGGCCAAATGCATCCTGTTTACCATTTGTGGAAGGCAGGAGAATGCTGCCCCACCCCCAAAATGTCCCTGTCTTAGCCTCCATAGCTTGTGAATATGTTATTTTACAGGAAAGGAGGAATGAAGATTGCAGATGGCATTACGGTTGCTAATCAGCTGAACTTAAAAAGAGGGTACGCTGGATGATTTTAGGGAGATTGAGATGGATTATCTTGGTGACCCCAATAGAATCCCAAAGTCCTTAAAAGATGAGGAAGAAGGCAGAGCAGGATTCAGAGAAAAAGGTATGGGTAAAGAAGAAGAGTCTGAATGATGCCATGTGAGACGTGACCAGCCTTTGTGGGCTTTGAGGAAGGAGGAAGGAGGAAGGGGACCAGGGGCCCAGGAACGTGGGAGCCTCTAGGAGCTGGGAAACGTTAAGGAGCAGATTCTTGCTTGGAACCTTAAAAAGAAATCCAGCCTTACTGTCCCTTTGATATCAGCCCAGTGAAATGCAGTTCATACTTCTGAGTTACAGCACTGTGAGATAATTAAGAAAAACATGTTTTCATCCACGAAGCTTGTGGAAATTTGTTATGGCAACAATAGGAAAAGATTCCACACTGCACAGCCAGAGCATGGGGCATTGGCTGAACGAGTGAGTGAGTGGAAGTGTCGTGTGCATAAATAAGCTAAATTCTCTCTTACTGCACGTCTCTTGCTCTGCTGAGTCAACCAGGGTTGCATCTGGTACACTGCTGATACGAATGCAAATTAGTACAGCCATTACAGAGGAGAAGAGTATGGAAGTTCCTCAAAAAATAAAATGAGGTCGGGCACAGTGGTTCATGCCTGTAATCCCAGCACATTGGGAGGCCGAGGTGGGTAGGTCACTTGAGGTCAGGAGTTGAAGAGCAGCCTGGCCAATATAGCGAAACTCTGTCTCTACTAAAAATATAAAAATTAGCCGAGTGTGGTGGTGGGAGCCAGTAACCCAGCTACTTGGGAGGCTGAGGCTGGGGAATCTCTTGAATCCTGGAGGTGGAGGTTGCAGTGAGCCCAGATGGCACCACTGCACTCCAGCCTGGGCAACAAGAGTGAAACTGTCTAAAAAAAACAAAAACAAAAACAAAAACCATAAAACAAAATGTAAAAAGACACTTCCAGAGGATCTAGCAATTCCATGACTGGGTGTAAACCCAAAGGAAAGGACATCAGCGTATCGAAGTGACATCTGCACTCCCATGACTGTTCCAGCAGTGTTCACAGTAGCCAAGATGTGGATCAACCTACCTGCCCATCAGTGGGTGAATGGATGGAGAGAATGTGGTACACACACACAATAGGGACAACTCATCCATAGAAAGAGTAACATCCTGTCATTTACAGCCACATGAATGGAACTGGAGGTCATTACAAGTATTTCCATTTCTCACTCATATGCAGGAGCTAAAAGGTGGATCTCACAAAGGTAGAGAGTAGAATGGTGGCTACCAGAGGCCAGGAAGGGAAGGGTGGAGGGTAAAAAAAAAAGAATACTAATTAATTAATTAATTAATTTTGAGAGAGTGTCTCTCTCTGTTGCCCAGGCTGCAGTGCAGTGGCATGATCTCAGCTCACTGCAACCTCCGCCTCCTGCAATTAAGTGCAACTCCTGCCCAACCCTCCCAAGTAGCTGGGACTACAGGCATGTGCCACCATGCTCGGCTAATTATTATCATTATTATTATTATTTTGTATTTTTAGTACAGATGGATTTTCCCCATGTTGGCCAGGGTGGTCTTGAGCCCCTGATCTCAAATGATCCACCTGCCTTGGCCTCTCAAAGTGTTGGGATTACAACAGTGAGCCACCGTGCCCAGCCTATAAATGTATTTATGAACAGTAGACTTCACACTTAAAAATGGTAAAGGTGGTAAATTACATAGGTATATTTCACCTCAATAAATATTTCTTCAAACAAAAAGAAAAGGGTGTAGGCGTTGCTGGTGATGACATCTCTCTGTGGGTGACAGGCCAGGATGGGCTTCTGGGAAGTGGGTAAGGTTGAGGGGCTGAGAGAACCTCTGATCTCCCCAGGCAGAGCCCAGTCTCCCTCCTCTGGGTCTGTTCTGACCTCTTTCTCCATCTGCCTGGGTGCCTGGAACCCTGATCAAGGGCCTCCTTGCAGGCCATACAGGAGGGTTTGGAGGTGCCCTGTCTGCCATCCTGCCCCCTGACCCCGCCCTTACACCCATGCTGTGTGTTCTGTCTCGGCATCTGTCCATGCTTCTCTCCATCATCAGCAGGAAGCTCCTCAGCTATGGCTCTAGGATCACAAGACATGGGACAGGCATGGTGTTTTCTCACCTGTGACAGAAACGGGCAGTGGGTCACTCGGGTCTGACCACGCGTGGGGCAGGGCACGGAAAGAGCCGAAGCATCTGTAGTTCCCTCCGTGGGTCACAGGGCCCAGAGGGAAGTTGGCCTGGAATGTTCCATTGACCCTCAGCACCGCAGTGAGCCTAAGTTCACCGGCCTCTGCCTCCCTGGATAGATGGTAAATGTCAAACAAGCTCCGGGAGCTGCAGGACAAGGTCACATTCTCTCCTGCCTGAACCGTGGGGCCCGGCTGGGCTGAGAGAGAAGGTTTCCCATATAGACCTGGAAGGAGAAGAGGTGGTTTCCTCAGGGAGGTTCTTCGTTGTCACAGCTCTCCTCACACCTGAGCTGAGAACTCACTCCCCTGCTCTATGACTTAATGCTCTCTTTCTCTCTCTCACCCTCCACCCCCATCTCTCTTCATGTCTATTTCCTCCTTCCACCTTCTCTGTCTCTCTAGGTCTCTGACCTCACTTCTCCATCCCTAGCTATGTTTTCTTTTTTTGTACCATTTTATTCTCTCTGACCCTCCTTGGACTGGTTGACTTGATCTTCCTCTTTCTTTAATTCTGAGTCTCTCACTTTCTGTCTTGCTCATAACTTTCTGCATATTTCTATCTACTATCTATTGATCGATCTATCATTTATCTATGTATGTATCTATCATCTATCATCATCTGTGTATCTATGACCTATCTCTCTGTTATCTATCATCTATCAATCAATGTATGTATGTATGCATCTATCCATCTATCATCATGTGTTTATCTTTCTATCTCTCTATATCTATTTATATATCATCTGTCTGTCTTTCTACTTGTCTATCTATATCATCTATCAGTCATTCATCATCTATTTGTCTATCACCTGTCTCTCTATTATCTATCATCTACCTTTTATCTTTCATCTATCTATATCTATCTATCCATCTATCATCTGTCTCTCTCCATCTCCTTGTCTTTCTCTGCCTCTCAGTCTCTCTAGTTCCCTTTTGGAGTCTCTGCAATCCATCCCCACATCTTTATCTTTCCCTGTCTTTGTGCCCCTCCCTCAGGGCTCTGATTTTAGGGCTTTTCTCTGCTTCCTTCCATCATACGCTCCACTTCTCTGCCCTCTTTTTCTATCTCTTTATGTGTCTGTGAGTCTCTCAATTCCCTTCTTCTGGCTCATTCTGTGTGTGTGTTCATGTCTTTGCTTTTTGATTTCCCTGATTTCACTCCGTGTCTCTCTGTGGGCTTTTGTTCTCAGTAATCCTATAACATGTGGTGCTATTTGAATATGAGCCTCAGAATCCAGTATGGGGACTCCAGGAACTCACAACATACAGGGGTTGGTGTTCTGCTCCCTCACCTGGGGCCATGGTGTCCTGCGACGACGACAGCTCCACTGCACGGAAGGCAGAGGTTTAAGAATAAACACAGCATCTGTAGGTGCCACCAGCCTGGGGCCACACGGCCCAACTCAGGCCAGATAGATGTGTCTCTTTGGGTTCTCCTGGGAGAGAACACTTTGTAGAGGTAAAACAGAATGGAACCTTCTAACCTGTGCCTGGTCTCTGAACAAAGTCAGCATAGAAGGACACCTCTCTCTGGGATATATCTGTCTCTCTGTGTCTTCTTTACCTCTTTATCTCTTTTTCTAACACCTTGTATGGCCCCTGTGTCTGGCTTCTATGTTATGACATGAGGTCTGTACTTGTGTCTCCTGTTTCTCTGCCTTTGTTGGTACAGACCTCACCAAGTCACTTTCTCTCCATAGGAACCCCACACTCATCTTCCTCATGACCACCTGGGGCTTCCAGTCCTAGATCATTCACTCCATCTCCCAGCAAGGGTGAGAGGCAGGTCTGTATTCTCTCACCTACGACCACGATGTCCAGAGGGTCACTGGGAGCCGACAACTCATAGGGTAAGTGAGTGACAGAACCAAAGCATCTGTAGGTCCCTGCAAGGGCAGGTGTCATGGGACCCATGGAATAGTTGACCTGGGAACCCGCATCGTGGAGCTGTCCAATGAGGCGCAAGGGGTCCTCAGTGATCCCCTCTCTGTGCAGAAGGAAGCGCTCAAACCTGACATCTGACCAACATTGCAGGATGACCGTCTCTCCCGATTTCACCAGGGGACCTGGGTGGGCCAGGAGGGAAGGTTTTCTGTGGACTCCTAAGAAGAGAGGTTGTGAGTTCAGAAGGCGTCTCCCTTTCTCATCCCATTCATGGGACCTGAAATAAGTGAGGCTTCCCCTCCATGGTGTCTATCTCTCTCCTTCCTCTCTGTGTCTCCGTGTTCTTTTGTGCCCATAACCCCTGTTGCAGGTCCCTCCATCTGTCTCCCTCCCTCTTCCCTGTCTCTCTGTCTCTAGTAGCCCTGATTCCCTTCCCACTGTGCTCAGTGTCACCTCTTATGCTGTTGTATCTGTTTCCCACTAATCTCTTTCCTGGTGTTTATGTGGGGGTGGAAGAGGAACCACGACAGGCTGCATGTCCAGGCTCTTAGCAGCCTGAATCAATCTCTTTTGGACAGATTGGAAAGGCTGGCAGGAGGTACGAACTCATCAGTAAGGCAGGCATCAGTGTCCCTGTTCCTGATGGGGATTGGGAGCCTCTCCTGTCATGTCTGTGCCTTCTCCATGGCCCCAGCTTCCATAGGGTGGCCCCTGGTGCTGGTTCCAGGAGCATCAACCCCTCCCTATGTGGATCGAGCCTGGTGGTAGCATCAGTATCCCACCCATGCTAAAATCAGTGTAGCCAACCTTCTCCTTGTTTGGTTTCTTAACTTGTGCTTCACCTGGGTTCCTGTGTTGGTTTCCTGTTGCTGCTGGAGAAAATTGTCACAAACATGGGGCAGGAGAGAATACAATGACCCCTTCCACTTCTGGAGAACAGAAATCGGACCCAGTTCTCTCTGGGCTAAAATCAAGGCATCTACAGGGCTGTGTTTCCTCTGGAGACTCAGGGAAGAATCAGTTCCCTTGACTTCTCCAGCCCTTAGAGGCCAACTGCCTTTGTGGCTCATGGCCTTCCCCCATCTTCAAAGCCCGCTGTGGCTGATGGAGTCTCCCTCCCACGACGTTGCTCTAACCCCACTTTCCTCTTCCTCCTCCTCTCATGAGGACCCTTGTGATTACTCTGAGCACAGCAGGACAGTCCAGGCTGTCTCCCCATCGCAAGGTCAACCCATCAACAACCTGAGCTCCATCTTCCCCTTCAGTCCCCTGCCCTATGACATAAATAGTCACAGGGTTCATGGATTACCATGTAGCCATCACTGGGGACAATTATTCTTCCCACCACAGCAACTATTTCTCTGTACTGAATCCCCCTTTACCCCAAATACAGTCTGGGCCTGGATGATTGGACCCTGATGGACACCCCCACCAGAAGCTCTGGGATTCAGGAGGTGGGACAGTGAGAAGCCCAGACAGAAAGCCTCTGACCTGTGACCATGATCACCACAGGGTTGCTGGGTGCCGACCACCCAGTGGGGGAGTGTGGGTGTGAACTGCAACATCTGTAGGTCCCTGCATGTGCTGGGGTCACAGGGCCCATGAGAAAGCTGTTCCGGAATATTCTGTTGTAGAGCTCAGGGACAGGCATCCCGTCTTCTTTGGACAGACTGAATTCGTTAAACCCAAGACGAGAGCGACACTGAAGAGTCACATGTTGTCCTTCAGACACCACAGTGCCGGGCCAGGCAGAGAGGAAGGGCTTGTCCTGACCACCTGGGGGAGAAGGAGGCACTACCTTAGAGAGGAGGATGTGGAGCCGCCCCTCCCTCCCTGTGCTCAGAAGATTCTCCCATTTCCACGTTTCTAAGGCTCCTACCACACCTGGGTGCCCAGGGCTACAGGAAGGACCCATCCCGCATAGACATGGCGTCTCCCTACAGCAAGTGTCAGCTGAGAACTTTGAGCAGGTGCTGAAGAAGCGACTCTTACTAGATTTTAACACTGCAAAATTACTTACATAAAAGAACACAAGGTAGACACAGGATGGAGGGCATGATCAGCTAATGCATGAACCATAATAAACAACTGAGCCCCTATTAGAAGATCTGGAATGTCAGGGTCATGACTGTGGTTCCCCCACCTCTTAGGTAGAATGACAGCAGCCACATTGCAGCCCCTACCGTCATGGAAACGCTGGAGGGTGTGAGTTATGCTCTTGTCCTCAGAGGCCTGTTGTTCCTTGCACTGCTTCTCTCCCTTCCTCTGCCGGTGACACCACTTCCTCCCTGCACACCACTCCTTTGAGCACTTCAGTCTCCCCCTGGGTCCCCACAGACTCAGCCAAGGGAAAGAAAGGCCGGGGAGGGCTAGGACAGAACTGTGGCGAAGCTTCCCCTGGCTTCCTTTTCCTAGTTCATGAGAGATTCCCACATGGCTTCCCATGGTCAGCCCATCAGTCAACCCCCTGTGTCGCCTGCCTCCCGTTTCAGGAACATCATCTTATGTGGGGAGATGACAACCTAAGGTTTGGGGGAAGGACTCACCCACATGTGGCCAGGGCCCCTCCAGCAAGAAGAACCCTGGAAAGAAAGATCATGATGGATGATCCATCTGTACATCACCTCCAGGCCCATATCTCCACTCCAGGCCCATATCTCCACTTCCGTCCTATATCTCTACTCCAGGCCCATATCTCCACTCCAGGCCTATATCTCCACCTCTGTCCTATATCTCTACTCCAGGCCCATATCTACACTCCAGGCCCATATCTCCACCTCCAGGCCTGTATCTCCACCTCCAGGCCCGTGTCTCCATTCCAGGCCCATATCTGCACTCCAAGCCAACATCTCCACTCCAGGCCCATATCTCTACTCCAGGCCCATATCTACAGTTCCAGGCCCATATCTCCACCTCCAGGCCCATATCTCCACTCTAGGCCCATATCTCCACCTCCAGGCCCGTATCTCAATTCCAGGTCCATATCTGCACTCCAAGCCAATATCTCCACTCCAGGCCCATATCTACAGTTCCAGGCCCATATCTCTACTCCAGGCCCATATCTCTACTTCAGGCCCATATCTACAGTTCCAGGCCCATATCTCCACTCCAGGCCCATATCTCCACCCCAGGCCCATATCTCCACTCCAGGCCTATATCTCCACTCCAGGCCCATATCTCCACTCCAGGCCCATATCTCCACTCCAGGCCCAGATCTCCACCCCACCGCTCCCTCCCTCGATTCCCTTCCAGGACTCACCAACACACGCCATGCTGACGACCATGAGCGACATGGTGCTGCCGGTGCAGACAGGCGGCTGCGCCCCAGCTCAGTTCAGCAGCACACAGGATGTTGTGAGGGGCTCATGCAGTTTACATGCTGACCACATCATGGGAGGATGACGTATGCAGGCTATTTCTACCTTGCATGAGGCCCAGTGGCTGTTTGGTCAAGAGCGGAACATGGCTTCCTGGAAATTGTTCCAACTAGAATTGACACCTTGCATCCTTCACTATAACCAACTCAAAACACGTCTCAGATCCAATCTCTCATACAGGAGATGACTGAATGCTTGGCTTACATTAAAGACTTTTGATGTATTTTTGTTGTTTTTATCTGAGATTCAAACTCTTCTTCATGTGCTATTTTCCCCAGGCTGTTCTTTGACTTCAGAGTTCAAGCAATCCTCCTGCCCCAGCATTTCTAGCAGCTGGCAGTATGTCACAATCTGCCACACCCAAGTCACAACTTTTAGAACTTTTTTTTTTTTTGAGACGCAATCTCACTTCGTCACCCAGTTTGGAATGCAGTGGTGAGACCTCGGCTCATTGCAGCCTCCACCTCCCAGGTTCACGCAATTCTCGTGCCTCAGCCTCCTAAGTAGCTGGATTTACAGGCACCCACCATCACGCCCACCTAATTTTTGTACTTTTAGTAGAGAGGAGGTTTCTCCATGTTGGCCAGGCTGGTCTTGAACTCCTAACCTCAAGTGATCTGTCTACTTCAGCCTCCCAAAGTGCTGAGATTACAGGTGTGAGCCACCATGCCTGGCCGGGACATTCTATATGTGTGCGTATGTGTGCGTTTATATACATATGGTTATACACACACACACACACACACACCCTAAGCACTCACATATATAGTTGTTTCAAATTTTAAAAAATATAAATTTTGTATTTTTCTTTCTTTTTCTCACATTTGTGTTTCTATGACACCATATACATATTGAATTTTATAGTTCTATTTTATTCTTTTGGATTGCAGTTTAATAGTCCATACATAACTTTATCAACATGTAATTATCCACTCTTTTTATCATGGACATTTGTGTTGTTTCCGGATTTTCTCTTTTATAACTCGGGCCTTGATAATCGTGTTTCTGTGTGATCCCTTGCATACATATGCTGAATTAATTAGACATATTTACCTAGGAATGAAATTATTGGTTTTGGGTGCAAGTTGGTGTTGAGCTTAACCAGGAAGTGCCAAAATATTTCCATCATGACCAAATGTGGCCTGGAAAGTTTTTTGGGGTCAATTTTCCTGTTTCTTCTAAGGAACAAAATTGATGTCACTGATTTTTCTGTCCTGTTTGTCATTTATGAATATACGTACATATGCACGTATATATTTGCTTGCCATTTTATGTTTTTCCTCGACGTTACTTTGGAATTAATTTGCTGATGTGTAGTATTTCTGCAAGCGAAAGTTACCTATTTACTCAGCTCTTCCTTCTTTTCTAACACAGACATTTGAGGCTTATTTTCCTTTAACACTGTTCTATCTGTATCCCCAGTCATTTGCCGAGATGTGTTTTCATTTTTAATTGATACAAAATATTTTCCACCTTTCTTTGAAATGTTTTTCTTCCACTCATTGTTTATTGCTATGTGTGTTTATTAATTTTAAAATATTTGATAATTTCCCCAGCATTTCCTTGTTGTACATTTATAATTTAATTCAACTGTTTCATCTATCATATTACCTATGATTCAGCATTTAAAAATTTATTTTGGTGAATGTTCCAGGGGTGCTAGACAAGTTTGTGGATTAGGAAGATTTGAGGTGGATGTTTTCTAAATGTCAGTTAAGAAAAAAATCATTCAAATGTTTTTCTTTATTTAAAAAAAATAGAGACGGGGTCTCACTATGGTGCCCAGGCTGGTCTCAAACTCCTGGCCTCAAGTGATCCTCCCATTTTGGCCTCCCAAAGTGCTAGGATTATTGAAATTATTAAATGTTTCATATCAACACCCAACCTTATGCACCCGCCGCCTACACAAATGTTTTTCAAGTCTTTCATATGCTTAATAATTTTCTGTGTACTTGTTCTGGAAGTGAGGTGAATGTTGCTATCTCTAGCTGCAATTTGGATGTGATTGATTATGTTTTGAATTATGCCTTTAATTTAATGTGTTTTGAGGTTCCAGCTTTAGGTGTGTAGGCATTTAGGATTATTATGTCTTATTTATGAATTTGCCTCTTTGTCATTATGAAGTACTCCTCTTCATATCTCCATATATCTCTTCTTTGTATGTGCATGGTGAAATATTTCATTCTTTGAGTTAAGAAACTTCTATTGAGGAATACTTTTTATTACAAACATTTACCTATTCTATGTATACAACTGACTAGAAGCATATTTTGCACTGGGCATTATCATGACAATGTAATGTCATTCTTTCAATATTTACATCTTGTGGATTAGTATTTGAAGTGCAGCTTATGTAGACAGCATAAGGTTGGGTGTTGATATGAAACATTTAATAATTGCACACGTATTTGCCTCTTGGGATACTTCCACTTTTTTGAATTTCAAGTTACTAAATGGTATCATTAATCTTTGCTTCAAGAGCTTAACATTTATTGTAGAACAATGCTTCATGTAATAAATTGTGAGACATTTTTAATGGCACCTTTATTGCAGGAAAATGTTTTCCTTTTCAGGTTGAAAGATTCTAGTTTGAAATATTTTCTTGTAGCACTTTAAAAATGTTGGTCCACCTATTTCTTACTTTCATAGTTTTGAATACAAAGTTTGCTGTCATTCTTGTATTTCTTCTTCTGTTTTTTATTTATTTATTTTTGACAGAATATCTTGCCGTCTCACCCAGGCTGGAGTGCAGTGGCATGATCTTGGCTCACTGCAACCTCTGCCTTCCAGGTTTCAGCAATTCCTGCCTCAGCCTCCTGAGTAGCTGGGACTACAGGCATGCGCCACCATACCCAGCCAATTTTTTTTTTTGTATTTTTTTTTTGTAGAGATGAAGTTTTGCCATATTGGCCAGAACTCCTGACCTCAAATGATCCACCTGCTTTGGCCTCCCAAAGTGCTGGGATTACAGGTGTGAGCCACTGTGCTCAGGCTATTTATTCCTTTTTATATAATATGAATTCACATTCATACATACCAGGGGTTAGGATTTCAACAAACGTTTCTGGGGGAGACCACTCAAAACACAGCACTCATCCTTGGTTATTTCCAGCCATGGAGCCTGTATCAATATCCTGGTGAATTATCTAAGCTGTCCACCTACCTACCCCAAATCCTCATGGTCACATAAAAGGCTAGTATAGTATAATAATTTTTCTTTCCCTGCTTATCTACAGTGATGAAGAAACGAATATTCAAAGGGAAAAATCTTAGCTTTAGGTATAGGGTAATTCTTCTTCCTATTTTTAAATAACTTCAACCTTTACTGTAGATTAAAGGTATGCATGCAGGTTTGTTACATAGGCATATTGTGTGACTCTGAGGTTTGTGGTTCCAACAATGCCATCACCCAGGCAATGAGCATAGAATCCAACAGGTGTTTCTTCAGCCTATACCTCCCTACTCCTCCCCCCATCTGTAGTCCTCGGTATCTGTTGTTTCCATCTTTATGTTCATGTGTATTCAATGTTTGGTTCTCAGTTATAAGTGATAACATGTGGTATTTGGTTTTCTGTTCCTGGGTTAGTTCACTTAGGAGATTGACCTCCTGCTACATTCATGTTGCTGCAAAGGACATGATTTCATTATTTTTTATGGCCATGTAATGTTCCATGTGTATATGTAGCACATTTTCTTTAACTAATCCACTGTTGGTGAGCACTTAGGTTGACTGCAAATCTTTGCTATTCTGAATTGCACAGCAATGAATATACTAGTGCATGTGTCTTTTTGACATAGTTAATTACCTTCCTTTTGGTATATACCCAGTAGTGGGATTGCTTGATTGAATAGTAGTTCTATTTTAAGTTATTTGAGAAGTCTCCAAACTGCTTATCACATTGGCTGAACTAGTTAACATTCCCACCAAGAGTGTATAAGTGTTCCCTTTTCTCCACAATCTTGTCAGCATCTGTTATTAAAAAAAACAAAAAACTTTTTAGTAATTGCTTCTGCTTCTCTGATTGTTGTGAGATGGTATCTCACTGTGGTTTTAATTTGCATTTCTCTGATGATTACTGATAATAAGCATTTGTTCATATGTTTTTTGGCCATGTGTACATCTTCTTTTGAGAAGTGTCTGTTCATGTCATACTTAATTGAGGTTTTTTGGTTTTCTGCTTGTTGATTTGTTTACATTCCTTATAGATTCTGGATATTAGAACTTTGTCAGATGCATAGTTTGCAAATATTTTCTCCCAGTCTGTAGGTTATCTGTTTACTCTGTTGATACTTTCGTTTGCTGTGCAGAAGCTCTTCAGTTGAGTTAGGTCCCAATTTCTGTCTTTGTCACAATTGGTTTTGGGGAGTTAGCCATAAATTCTTTGCCAAAGTCTATCTTGAGAAGGATATTTCCTAGGTTTTCTTCTAGAATTTTAATATTTTGAGGTTTTACATTTAAATCTTTAAACTATCTTGGGTTAATTTTTGTATATAGTGAGAGTTAGGGGTCCAGTTCTATTATTTTGCATATGAGTAGTCAGTTATCCCAGAACTATTTATTGAAGAAAGGGTACTTTCCACATTGCTTGTTTTTGTCAATTTTTTCAAAGATGATTGTAGGTATGTAGCCTCATTTCTGGGTTCTCTATTCTGTCTCATTGGTCTATGTGTCTGTTTTTGTAGTAGTATCATGCTGTTTGGGTTACTATAGCATTGTAGTATAGTTTGAAGTTGGGTAATGTGATGCCTGGGCTTTGTTCTTTGTGCTTAGGATTCCTATGTGTATTCAGGCTCTTTTTTTGGTGCCAAATACATTTTAGAATAAATTTTTATAATTTCGTGAAAAATGACATTGCATTTTGAAATGGATAGCATTGAGTCTGCAATTTGTTTTTGGAAGTATGGCGATTTTAACTATTTGTTCTCCTAATTCATGAGCATGGAATATTCTTCCATTTGTTTGTATCATTTCTTATTTCTTTCAGAAGTGTTTTGTAGTTCTCCTTGTAGAGAATTTTCACCTTCTTGGTTAGATGGATTCCTAGGTATTTTATTTTCTTTGTGGCTAGTGTAAATGGAATTGTGTTCTTGATTTAGTTCTCAGCTAGAATGTTAGTGGTGCATAGAAATGTTACTAATTTGTGTACATTTTTTTAATCCCGAAACTTTATTGAATTTGTTTATCAGTTTCAGGAGCCTTCTGACAGAGTCTTTAGGGTTTTCTATGTATAAAATTATTTCATCAGCAAAGAGAGACAGTATCACTACTTCTTTTCCAATTTTAATGCCTTTTATTTCCTTCTCTTGCCTGATTGCTTTGGCTAGGACTTCCAGTACCATGTTGAATTAAAATGGCGGGAGTGGTCATCCTGGTCTTGTTTCGGTTCTCAAGGGGTATGGTTCCAGCTTTTGCCCATCAATATGATGTTGGCTGTGGGTTTGTCATAGATGGCTCTTAATATTTTGAGGTATGTTCCTTTGATGCCTATTGACAGTTTTTATCATGAAGGGATGTTGGATTTTACAGAAAGCTTTTTCTGCATCTATTGAGATGATCATATAGTTTTTGTTTTTAATTATGTTTATGAGGTGAATCACATTCGTTGACTTTGTAGGTTGAACCAACCTTGCATCCCAAAAATAAAGCTTACTTGATCATGTGAATTAACTTTTGATGCACTGACAGATTCAATTTGCTAGCATTTTGTTGAGGATTTTATGTCTATGTTCATTAAGGATATTTAGTTGTAGTTTTCTTTTTTTCATTATGTCTCTGACAGATGTTGGTATCATGGTGATGATGGCTTCATAGAATGAGTTAGGAAGAAGCCCCCACTCCTTGATTTTTTCCAAAAGTTTCAGTAAGATCGGTATCAGTTCTTCTTTGTATGGCTGTTGGATTTTGGCTGTGAATCCATCTGGTCCTGGGCTATTTTTAGTTAGTAGGGTTTTTATTACTGATTAAATTTCTGAACTTGTTATTGGTCTGTTCAGGTTTTCACTTTCTTCCTGGTTGAAATATGATAAATTTTGTGTTACCAGGAATTTATCCATTTCTTCTAGGTTTTCTAGCTTGTTTGTATAGAGGTGTTCATAATAGTCTTTGACGATCTTTTCTATTTCTGTGGGATTGTTCGTAACATTGTTTTGTCAGTTCTATTTGTGTTTATTTGGATCTTTTCTCTTTTTCTTTGTTAATCTAGCTAACAGTCTATGAATTTTGTTTATTTTTTTTCAAAGAAAAACTCTTGGTTTTATTTATCTCTTGTATGGACTTTTTGGTCTCAATTTATTCAGTTCTCTCTGACTTTAGTTATTTCTCATCTTTTGCTGGCCTTGGGTTTGGACTGTTCCTTTTTTTTAATAGTTCCTCTAGATGCAGTGTTAAGTCACTAATTTGAGATCTTTCTAAACTTCTGATGAGGCATGTATTGCTATAAATTTTCCTCTTATCACTGCTTTAACTGCATCCCAAAGGTTTTGGTAAGTTTGTTTCTATTTTTATTAATTTTAAATAATGTTTTGTGATTTCTGCTTTAATTTCATTGTTCACCCAAGAGTTCTCAAGGGGTACAGTTCCAGCTTTTGACCATTCAATATGATGTTGGCTGTGGATTTGTCATAGATGGCTCTTAATATTCATTCAGAAACAAGTTGTTAAATTTCCATGTTTTTCTGTAGTTTTGAGAGATCATCTTGGTATTTTTTTCTATTTTTATTGTGTGCCTTGTTATGATTTTGATTCTTTGAATTTATTGAGACTTGCTTTGTGGCCAGTCTTAGAATATGATATGTTTTTTGTGTGTGCAGATAAGAAGAATCTATATTCTGCAGTTGTTGGGTGGAGTACTCTGTAGATGTCTATGAGGTCCAATTGGTCAAGTGTTGTCTTTAAGACCAGAATTTCTTTGTTAGTTTTCTGTTTTAGTGATTCATCTGACGTTGTTAGTGGGATACTGAAGTCCCTTACTATTATTGTGTGGCTGTCTAACTCTTTTCATAGGTGAAGAATAACTTGTTTTATGAATCGGGGTGCTCCAAATTTGGGTGCATATATATTTAGAATAGTTAAGTCTTCTGTCAAATTGAACCCTTTATCATTTTGTAATGCCCTTCTTTGTCCTTCCTGATTGCTGTTGATTTAAAGTGTGTTTCATGTGATATAAGAATAGGAATGCCTTCCTTTTTTTTGTTTCCTGGTTGCCTAGTAAATATTTCTTCATCCTTTTACTTTGAGCCTGTGGGTGTCATTACATGTGAGATGGGTCTCTTGAAGACAGCAGGCAGTTGGCTCTTGGCTTTTTATCCACGTTGCCACTCTATGCCTTTTATGTGGGGAATTTAGGCCATTTACATTTCTTCTCCTGATATATCCTTTTTATATTTTTATGATTGCCTTTTAAAATATATTGAATGGTTGTAATTCCAGGGAAATGTCTTTCAGAACAGTATTTATTCCCATCTACATGTTTTGGAGAGTGCACTAGGGGACATTGAAGTTTATTTCCTGAAAAGAGTTTAATTTTAAAATGTATTTTATTTAATAACTCAATGATTCAGGGAATGTCTAGGTATTTCAGAGATTGTTTTAGACAGTTTGTTTTCTTGTGATATGTGACCACTTCATCTAAGCTGAATAATGTCTTCATAATGTCCACTTAGAATCTTTTGAATTCTGTAGGATCTGTACTGATGTCATTGTTTCCTTTCTGATATTGGTAATTTTCCTGGGGTAGGATTCTTAGCTCCTCCTGAGGTCCTGCCTCTAAAATTCAGGGAACAATGAGTCAGATTAGTACTCTGATTTCAAAGGGAAAGCTGATCATCTACCATTTTTTGTTTATGTAAATGGACACATTAACATCCCTTGTCTGAACCTTAGTTACCTTGTTTGGAGCATTTTGCTATAAATCTCACTTCTCAGAGTGGTTGTGGGGCTTGATGTGGCTGGGGTATGGGATGGCTTAAACATAATTTATTTCCAGACCAGGTTAAGGCATGAAGGGGTTGGGACTTGTTAGAATCCTGTTGTCGGACTCCACAGTAAGGGTAGACATTTGAGGCACCCAATCAAAAACCTCAGTTGTTCCTAGCACTGAGAAATTTGATAGAATGTTTCTAAAACATTATTCATGGTCTAATGCACAAAAAGTAAAGTGATAGCCCTGGAAGTAGACAGGGAACCATAAGAAAAAAGAGAGAGCAAAGCTCAGTGGTCACCAGTGCCTGGGACCATCAAGGGGTTATTAAGGAGGAAGTTTCCACCTCTGTGGGGAACAGAAGAGGCTCCCTAGGGTCCACACACACAGGGAGTGAGCCAAGACTCTGGGCGAGGCTGGAAGCTCTGGGTCTCCTTCTGTGAGATTTTCTTTTTTTTTTTTGAGATGGAGTCTTGCTCTGCCACCCAGGCTAGAGTGCAACGGCGCGATCTCGGCTCATGGCAACCTCTGCATAAAGTGGTATGTATTTAAGGCATGCATTAGACAAATTACTAAGTATTTACTAGATAAGAAAAAATTATATCTGAATCTTTTCAAATTGCCGTCTTATGCATTATATTCTCTTTTTATAGTGCAATTTCTTAATAGTTAATGCCAGAAGATTTTTTTTTCTTCCTTTCTTTCTTTCTTTTTTTTTTTTTTTTGAGACAGAGTCTCACTCTGTTGCCAGGCTGGAGTGCAGTGGCACGATCTCGGCTCACTGCAACCTCCGTCTCTCGGGTTCATGCCATTCTCCCGCCTCAGCCTCCTGAGAAGCTGGGACTACAGGCACCCTCTACCATGCCCAGCTATTTTTTTTTTTTTTTTTGTATTTTTAGTAGAGACGGGGTTTCACCATGTTCGCCAGGATGATCTCTGTCTCTTGAACTCGTGATCCACCTGCCTTGGCTTCCCAAAGTGCTGGGATTACAGGCATGAGCCACTGCACCTGGTCGCCAAAAGATATTTTTAAAAACCTAAATGCCACTTGAAATGAATAAGACCCTCAATAATTCATGGGATATACATGTGAACTTATGACATATGATGAAATAAGCAGGTTACAAAATTGTAATATATCAAGCAAGGTAGAAAGCCATGGCAGAAAAAGAGACAAGCATTTTCAAGATAAGGAATGAAAGAGGGGAAACAGTACTATTGATTTTACAGATTTTACAAAGATATCTTAGGTGTGTTTTCCTAAATAATAAATGTACCCTCCTTTTGACCTTTATGTAATGAAATAACCATGCACACATTTTCAAATAATACTTCATTTACTTGACTTTATGCTTGAAAATTGAAGTATGGTGCTGTTTGTTATTTTCATTTATGCATTTTACTACCTTGTAATATTCCACTGAGTCTATTTACCACACTATGTTTATTTTTTTCGTAGGTGGACTTTGGTATTTTATAGCTTTGGCTAATAGGAACAGCATTCCTATAACAGTTGTGAGTGTATCATGACACATAAGTAGACATTTATCTCTAGGGTACATAATTAAGTACATAATTAAGAAGGGTCACAGCCATGTGCCTCCTCTTTTTAACTAGATAATTCCAATACACTTCCTTAATTGATTAAAGCAATTTGTACTCTTACTATTAATGTACTAAAATTCTACATGTTCAATATTCTTTCCAAAAAATGATTTTGCTACTTTTTTCTTTTCTTGAGACTGAGTCTTGCTCTATCACCCAGGCTGTAGTGATCTCGGCTCACTGCAACCTCCGCCTCCTGGGTTCATGCGATTCTCGTGCCTTGGCCTCCCAAGTAGCTGGGATTACAGGCAGGCGCCACCATGTCTGGCTAATTTTTGTATTTTTAGTAGAGACAGCGTTTCACCATGTTGGCCAGGCTGGTCTCGAACTCCTGACCTCAGGTGATCCTCCTGCCTCGGCCTCCCAAAGTGTTGGGATTACAGGCATGAGCCACCACACCCGGCCTATTTTTTTCTTTTCCCTCCATTGTGCTATGATTTTTGACATTACAATTTTACTGAAACTACACCATAAGAATGAAGCAGAAATTATTATAACCTTTAAATAAACTTTACAACTGGTTCATACTCGTGTGAACGACAATTCTTTTGACTACTTCCCAACTGTGCATTCAATGGCGTCATATGGGCACCCTGAAGTTGGCCATAAAGGACGTATTTATACCACACTAATCAGCAAATACCATAAATCTGGGGCTTTATATGTTCAGAGTTTTCTTAAGAAAATAATTTTTTCAGAGAGCCAGTTTAACAGAATACCATGAGGCTGAGCCTTCGAGCGTTAGTGTGCTCATTCTGAGAGATGATATTTCTGGACAAAGTACACAGGTATCATCCGATGAAGAGTGAAGGGAATTCAGGGTCCAGAGAGGGTGCTAGGGCATCATTTCAGACTCATATTTCCCTTTTTTTTTTTTTTTTTGGAGATGGAGTCTTGCTCTGTTGCCCAGGCTGGAGTGCAGTGGCAAGATCTTGGCTCACTGCAACCTCCGCCTCCCGGGTTCAAGCTATTCTCCCGCCTCAGCTTCCTGAGCAGCTGGGATTACAGGTGCTCACTGCCACACCCAGCTAATTTTTGTATCTTTTAGTAGAGACAGGGTTTCACCATGTTGGCCAGGTTGGTCTCGAACTTCTGACCTCAAGTGATCCGCCCACCTCAGCCTCCCAAAGTGCTGGGATTACAGGTGTGAGCCACTGTGCCTGGCCTCAGACTCATGTTTCAAAGTCCCAAATACAAATCTGCCCACCTATTCCAGTTATTTAATCCAGATCTATGCTCAGAACTGAAAAGATGGAGAATCAATAGTTCACTTTAGAGAATGCGGTAGTTGGAAACAAAGACAAATGTATTACATGACAGTGGACCAGAGCACGTGATCGCAGGGGTGTGGATGCAAACCCACCATGGGGGACGTGCCTTCACATCACAGAGAGCGAAAGGAAGGGAGGGGCAGACACGGAGGATCCACAACAGCAGGACTGAAAGCACTGCCATTTAATGGAAGTTTAATGGAGGAAGCGTTCTCTACAGGCACCCAGACATCTTCCTGAACCTGACCCAAGCCTCCCCTTCTCGACTTTCTCAGTAGACGGTTTCCCGAATGATGGTCCAGACTTTCTTCCAGAACCTCCTAGGACTATCAGATTCATTGCCAAGGCTCTGGCACTCTGAAGGGTGCATTGTTCTCTCATGTATTTACCTCCTTGCTGCATCTTGGGGACTTCTCTAGCTGTGCCAGTCCTAAAGCAGCAGAATCCCGAGGACCACCAGGACCAAGCCAGCCACAGCCACGCGGATGAGATTCTCCACTGTGTAATCCTGGGGGTGTGAGGCTGGGGATGGTGGACCAAGAGGTCTCAGAGGTCAGGGCAGATCAACATCACCCGGGACCCCTGGATGTCCACCCAGGGCACCCACCTCCCCTTCACAGGACCTGACCCTCTGTGCCAGCCCCATAACCGAGAGCATCTCCTTACACACCAGTCTTGGAGTCTGTCTTGTTTTGCGATGGGCTGAGGGTCTCAGCTGCTCCTGAGAATCAACCAAAAAAGGGGGAGGTGTGTGAGGAGTTGAAGAGACTTAAGCCAACATGTCCCTCAGTTGCTGCATTCCTTTGTGTCTACACTTCTCCTAACTGCTCTGTAGTTGTGTGATAGAACCTTTCCCTGCCGTGGCAGAGGTACATTCGCATACATACATACATATATGCATAGGTGTAAATATGTGTGTATACATAATATGTGTTATGCATATGTGTATACATAATATGTATTATGCATATGTGTATAGATAATATGTATTATGCATATGTGTATGCATAATATGTATTATAAGATATAGTGTGAGTATATATAAATATATAATATATAAGATATATAATAGTGTGTGTATACATATAAATATATAATAAGATATGTAATAGTGTGTGCATATATAAATATATAATATATAATAAGATATATAATAGTGTGTATATATAAATATATAATACATAATATATTATAAGATATATAATAGTATGTATATATAAATATATAATACATAATATATAAGATATATAATAGTGTGTGTATATATAAATATATAATACATTATATATTATAAGATATATAATAGTATATATAAATATATAGTACATAATATATAATAAGATATATAATAGTGTGTGTATACATATAAATATATAATAAGATATGTAATAGTGTGTGCATATATAAATATATAATATATAATAAGATATATAATAGTGTATATATATAAATATATAATACATAATATATTATAAGATATATAATAGTATGTATATATAAATATATAATACATAATATATAAGATATATAATAGTGTGTGTATATATAAATATATAATACATTATATATTATAAGATATATAATAGTATATATAAATATATAGTACATAATATATAATAAGATATATAATAGTGTGTGTATACATATAAATATATAATAAGATATGTAATAGTGTGTGCATATATAAATATATAATATATAATAAGATATATAATAGTGTATATATATAAATATATAATACATAATATATTATAAGATATATAATAGTATGTATATATAAATATATAATACATAATATATAAGATATATAATAGTGTGTGTATATATAAATATATAATACATTATATATTATAAGATATATAATAGTATATATAAATATATAATACATAATATATAATAAGATATATAATAGTGTGTGTATATATAAATATATAATACATAATATATATTATAAGATATAATAATGTGTGGGTAATATAAATATATAATACATAATATATAAGATATATAATAGTGCATATATAAATATATAATACATAATATATATTATAAGATATAATAATGTGTGGGTATATATAAATATATAATACATAATATATATTATAAGATATAATAATGTGTGGGTATATATAAATATATAATACATAATATATAAGATATATAATAGTGTATATATAAATATATAATACATAATATATATTATAAGATATATAATAGTGTGTGAGTATATATAAACACATACATATATATTTGAAGTGAGAAGAGTATTATATAATTTAGAAACAAACAAGTTTGTCCTCCATTTTCTTGTGGTTAATGTAATTATTATCAATAAATCAGAAGAGATCATTTCGGAAAGGATTGAAAGGGAGTGTGTCTGTGGTAAGTTAATAGGAACTAAAATTAGCATACCCAAACCAATAGCTTTCTCATCCATACGTAACTAATTTTAGAAAATAGAAAGGAATCAAAGACTTTCAAATTATTCAAGTAGTAAAACAATGCTTAAAATTCACAATGTCCACAATTTTTATGAATACAACTTCAAGCATCTGCTAACTGTATAAAGTTTAATTTTAAATGTATTGGATACAAAGACATTATTAATGAGAAGTTATTCTCCATCATGAATGCACATATTTAATTTAATCCCAAAGAAAATCAGAGCACAGTTATTTTACATCATAACGCTACCTAACAAATTAAATGTGTAAATTATAAATGCCAGCATTGCTTTGAAATCTTCAGAAACAGAAAGAGAAACTAGATATGTGGACATAAAAAATAAAGGACAGAAAGGAATTGCACACGAGGTTTGCTGTTGAATAATTTGCCTGCATTGCTGCAGTGAGCAGGTGCATGATCTCCCCTTCGTCTCAGGTATGCACTGAGTATTTTGGGGCCGCCAGGGGAGCCCAGGTGGGGAGTGGGTGGGGCCTCCATCTTCTACCCTCAGCCTAAGCATGATTCCTCCAAGGTTTCTCCATATCTCATTTCAGCCCTCCCTGGCCTTTAGCCCCATCTGAGGTCTCTGGGGTGGGAGCCCAGGATTAGGAGGTCCCTGACTATTTCCACCCTCTCATGGGCTGGGCCCTCCCCTGCCGACCCTCCCCCTTTACTCCCCTCTTTCCTTAGCGTCCTGAGCTCTCCTGGGGGCAGGGCCTGAGCTGAGGTTTGAGCTCAGAGAGGACAGGGTCAGCGGCCTCACCTGAGACCACGAGCTCCAGGGGGTCACTGGGGTGAGACAGCAGGTAGGGGAAGAATCTGCGTGAGCTGTAGCACCTGTAGGTCCCCGCGTGGGCTGAGGTCACAGGACTCATGGGGAATTCAGCCTGGTGCTGCTGAGCTTGGTGCTCTGATCTCAGACGCAGTGGGTGATGGGCTGCCCCCTCCTTGGTCAGAAGGAAAGTGTCCAACTGCTCCCGTGACTGACACAGCAGGGTCACGTTCTCTCCTGAGGCCACCGTGGGGCCCGGCTGCACCGAGAGGGAGGGTCTGCCACGGATCTGTCCTGGAGAGAAGAAGGATGGGTGAGGGGCTGCCCCACCTCGTTCTGAGCTGACACCTCCCCAGGCCTCTCCCTGGGACCCTCAGTGTCTCTGTCTCTGTTTTCTCTGAGTCTCCCCCTCCCCGCCCATCCCCTGTCTCTGTCTGTCTCTCCGTCCCTTAGGACCCCCACCCCTCATCCCGGCCATCACCACCTGGGCTCCCCCAGCAGGGCCTGTGCGGAGCCTGGGTCCCTGACTGAACCTGCTGGGCTCCTCACCTGCGATCAGGATGCTCAGGGGGTCACTGGGGGCCGACCACTCGGAGGAGAGGTTGTGTGCACCGTAGCATCTGTACTGGCCCCCGTGGGAGACCCTCACAGGGCCCAGGGTGAAGTTGGCCTGGGAGAGCCCAGCCTGGGGCTGCCGGCCAGAGCCCTGGACGAGGTCATGTCCCCCCTCCTTGTACAGAGTGAATTTGTCATAGCCGACATCAGAGCCACACTGGAGGGTCAGATTCTCCCCAGGGGCCACGACAGGGCCCTGCAGGGTCAGGAGGGAGGGCTTCCTAGACACGCCTGGAGGGAAAGAAGAGTCGGGACTAGGAGGGCTGGTTCCTCCCACACCCCTTCCTTCTCCCCTCCTGGCCCTGCAGGTCTCACTGTCTCTCACACTCAGTGTCTCTGGGCTCAGGAGTCCCAAACTTCCCTTGTTCCACCCTCCTACATGGGGCTCCGTGAGAGTAAGTTCTCAAAAATAAATAGGGCAAGGAGGAAGACATCCATACCTAAGACCAGGATCTCCATGGTATCACTGGGTTCCGACCACACCCAGGGGAAGTTCGTGTAATGCCCATAGCATCTGAACATCCACCGGTGACTGGCAGCCACACGGCCCACAGGGAACAGGGCCAGGGACAAGGGACAGCCCCTTGGAGAGTTCCTGTGAGTCCAGCATCCAGGAGAGCTTGTTTTCTCCTTCCTCAATCAAAATGAACCTGTGAAATCCCACCCTTGAGCTACACTGGATGGTCACGTTCTCTCCTGAGGTCACCACAGGGCTCGGCAGGGCTGAGAGAGTGGGTTTTCTGTGGGCTCCTAGGAGAGAAGGAGACACTGTCTTAAATGGGGCTCACGCGTCCCACATCATCCCCCAGGGCTGAGTTATTAGAACGGAGATGCCCTTGAGAGCTGACCCCCTTCCTGCAGGCAGAGCCTGGGGCTGGGACCCCTGAGTGTCCTCTTACCTGTCACCACCAGCTCCAGGGGCTCGCTGCGCTCTGACCAGCCTGCAGGGCTGAGATAGTGACAGTGGTATCTCCCTGCATGGTGCTCTCTCATGGATGGGATGAAGAAGTTGGTCTTGTTCCTGGGCTCTGGTGGGCTCTGTTGGTACCAGGTCATGGGGTTTCCTTCCTTGGTGAGATAGTAACCCTGGGTATCCAGGGTCCCCTGGCACCAGAGGGTCATGGGGCTCTCCCAGGTAATCACAGAGCCTGGCTCAGCCCAGAGGCTGGGTTTGGGGAGGGTCCCTGGAAGAAACCACAGGCTGGGGTCCACAGACCTCCCCCGCTCCTCATTCCCAGCTCAGGTCACAGACCCTCTTGATTTTCTCACCCTCAGTTCAGAAGCCCCTGAGATGAGAGTCCAGGTGCTGAGTGTGAGGTCAGGCATGGGAGGTTAGCAGAGACTCACCTGCAAGTGCTTGGGCTTTCTGGCCCAGACTCAGCCATGGAGAAGAGTTTCCTGTGGGGGATTTGGAACACAGAGGTGTGGCTGCTTCCCTTCCTGTTGGAGCACCAGTAGCCACTGGAGCCCTGAGGCTCTCTGGTGAACAAGGCTGCTGTGGGACCCTCCCCACCTCAGCCCAGTGCCCCTCCTGTCCCTCGTCTCTCCACCACTGACTGAGGCACAGAAGAACAGTGAGGATGGACACCATGATGCCTGCTCTGCGTGCTCCAGCTGTGGGACAGGTGACCACATGGCCCTCCATGACAGACAGATGCACGGATGTGGTTAAGTCAGAGCCTGCTGCCGCCTGCCTGGGTCCCCACAGCTGTGAACCCACAGGAAGTGGACAGCCCCTTGCTGGGCCTGTCTCTTATTCCCCCCCCAGTGCAGGGGCTCAGGAGGACCCAGGCCCTCTGCACACATCTCAGCCCAGACCTGAGGTGTCCCCTGATTGCCAGGGATCCTTTGTCTGAAAACCTGCCCGTGGAGGGTGGACCCAACATCATATCTATGTCAGCTCCCAACTTAGCTGGGTCTAAACTGAAAACACAGCCCTTATTTTCTCAGAGCCTCCACTCATGACATCGGCTTTCTTTTTCCCCACTGATGCAAAGACAAATATTTCCCAGCAGAAAGTCATCCTGATCTGGAGAGACCCATTTCCTGCGTTCAGTAAATAAAGTCAGTTTCATTAGGGGAGGCTCTGGGAAAATAAGGGGATGCAGACTAGCAGAAGATGAACATTTAGCTACTTGTTTCTCAATTAATTGATTTATTACCAAAGAGAGAGAAGTGGAAACATGAGAATAGGGACCATGACTAGAATGTGGTTGAGGGAATGGTTTCTATCTTATTCCCTGGCAGAGAACTAAGGGATAAGAATGAGAAAGCTGGCTGGGTGCAGTGGCTTACACCTGTAATCCCAGCACTTTGGGAGGCCGAGGCAGGAAGATCACAAGGTCAGGAGTTCAAGACCAGCCTGACCAACATGGTGAAACCCCTGTCTCTACTAAAAATACAAAAACTAGCTGGGTGTGCTGGCATGCGCCTGTAATCCCAGCTACTAGGGAGGCTGAGGTGGGAGAATCGCTTGAACCTGGGAGGTGGAGCTTGCAGTGAGCCGAGATCGCGCCACTGCACTCCAGCCTGGGCAACAAAGCCGGACTGTCTCAAAAAAAAAAAAAAAAAAAAAAAAAAAGAAAGAGAGAAAACCCAGCAGTGAGAGGTAGTTGTGAGAACACACTAAAGAGGAAAGATAATCCAGGGCTGGGAGTGGTGGCTCATGCCTGTAATTCCAGCACTTTGGGAGGCTGAGGCTGGCAGATCACAAGGTCAGGAGTTCGAGACCAGCCTGACCAACATGGTGAAACCCTGTGTCTACTAAAAATGCAAAAATTAGCTGGGTGTGGTGGTGGGTGCCTGTAATCCCAGCTACTCAGGAGGCTGAGGTGGGAGAATCGCTTGAACCCAGGAGACGGAGGTTGCAGTGAGCTGAGATTGCACCACTGCACTCCAGCATAGGCAACAAAGCCAGACTCTGCCAAAAACAAAAACAAAAACAAAAACAAAAACAAAAAACAAGAAAGCTCAGTGAGAGGTGGTTGTGAGAACACACTAAAGAGGAAAGATCATTCAGGGCTGGGAGTGGTGACTCACGCCTGTAATCCCAGCACTTTGGGGGGCCACAGGCGGGTGGATTACCTGAGGGCAGGAGTTCAAGACCAGTCTGGCCAACATGGTGAAACCTCGTCTCTACTAAAAATACAAAAACTAGCTGGGTGTGATGGCGGGTGCCTGTAATCCCAGCTACTTGAGAGGCTGAGTCAGGAGAATCTCTTGAACCCAGGAGGCAGAGGTTGCAGTGAGCTGGGATCGTGCCACTGTACTCTAGCCTGGGTAACAGAGCAAGGCTCTGTCTCAAAAAAATAAAAATTAGAAAGAAAAAAGGAGAAGGAGAAGAGGAAGGAGACAGAAAGGAGAGAAACATCCCTGAGGTGGAACATTACATGCAACATGGAGTAGGCAGGGAATCCGATAGAGCACTGAAACTCTCGCTGGGTACGGTGGCTAACATCTGTACTCCCAGCACTTTGGGTGGCCGAGGTGGATGGATCACCTGAGGTCAGGAGTTTAAGACCAGCCTGACCAACATGGTGAAACCCCATCTCTACTAAAAATACAAAAGGCTGGGTGTGGTGGCTCACGCCTGTAATCCCAACACTTTGGCAGTCTGATACAGGCGGATCACATGAGATCAGGAGTTTGAGACCAGCCTGGCCAAGATGGCAAAACCTCATCTCTACTAAAAATACAAACATTACCTGGCTGTGGTGGCAGTCGCCTGTAATCCCAGCTATGCAGGAGGCTGAGGCAGGAGAATCGCTTGAACCTGAGAGGTGGAGGTTGCAGTGAGTCAAGATCGTGCCATTGCACTCCAGCCTGGCCAATAGGAGCAAAACTCCATGTGAAAATAAAATAAAATAAAATAAAATATAATAAAATAAAATAATAAATCAAAAAAGGACTGGACATCTCCTGTGGGTTGTCAGTGAATGGAACTAAGCAAGCCACCGCTCTTTCCCTTTTGTCCCGCAAGTGTCTTTCTTGGCCTCCAGGAAGTGAGTTCCATCATGTCAGACCCTATGTTTGTTCCTGCTGGGTTCACTGAGGCTCCTCCCTTTCCACCTGTGGCTCCCCATGGGTTCCCAGTCCCCAGCCAGTGTTGTGAATCGAGCCAGGAAGACCAGCCCTATCACACCCCTCCTGATGGAATTCCCACAGTGTCATCCTGGAGAACAGGGGCTGGGGGCTGGGGTAGGATCAGAGACCTTTTCATGTGGGCCAGGCCCCTCCCTCCACAGGAGCTCTGACACGAAGCTCATCACCATTCATTTCACCCTGACGATATTCTTCCTGCCCAGACACCCCCGTTCTCCCTATGTCATCATGGGCACCTCAGTGAAATCCATGGTTGAGGGTCTCTGTCACTTACTCTGCCCTCTTCTTGGAAAATTTCCTTGGATCCTTCCAGAGCCCTTCCTGAGTGTGCTGCAGGGTCTCTGCCACATGACACACTCTCAGGAACCCTCATCCTCCCCTTAATCTACTGCGCCCACATAGCCAGGTGCAGGCTCCGTTTCTTCATCTTCCCTTCCCCACAGGCCCCGATGGAGAGTGGATTAGACTCGCTCCTGAGTAGGGACTCAGGTCACTCTGACCCCTTCCTCCCTGTGGACGAGGCCTCTGTCCCAGAGCTTTGGAGGCTGAAGGGCCTTGTGGATTCCCGCACTGGCCACAGTCTCCGATGCAGATGGGGAACTGGGGACCTGGGAGGGGTTGCCTAGCCCAAGGCCACATAGCTGGGCGGTGGCACAGCCTTCACTCACACAGGGACATTCCATCTTCCCAGGGACTTCACACTGGAGGCTAAGAGCCCCACTTTGCACACCACATTCAGGGGTAGATTCTGTGTGTGACTAACAAGTTCTCTTAGGGTTCCGAGGTAACAGGACAGCAAATGGATGAGTGAGAGTTTCCCTCACCCCACTGAAGTAGGACCATTCTCTGTGGAGGGTTGGTCCCCTGACTTCCTCTACTCTGTCATCTCCCTAGTGACTGATAGGGGTCCTGGGGTCTCTTCCCTGGAATCCCATGAGGGACAATTCCTTTCCTGAAGGGAAGGTATAGAGAGGACTAGCAGGTGCCTGGTGATGGAAAGTCCCCATAATCAAGAGACATTGCCTCCCCCCCCCGGCATGATAAATATCTGGGTTTCCAAATGGGAAATCTGTCTGTGATGAGAGCTCAGGAGGGGCTTCTGGAAGATGGAAAAGGGCTAGAGGCTGAGGCCACTGCTTATCTCCCCACACTGTATCTGGCTTCACCTCCTGTGTTTGTCCTGACCTCTTCCTTCACTCACCTGGATAAGTAGGACCCCAAAGTGGGCCTCCAGACAGGAAGCAGTGGAGAGTGTGGAGCTGCCCTGTCTACCACCCTACACCCTGACACCACTGTCATACTCAACCTCTCTTTTCCTCTTTGTGTTTCTCATTGCTTCATTTTGTCTGGAATCCCTAAGATTCCCATGTCTCCAGCAGGCTGTCCCTCAGACGTGGCTATATGATTTAGTGTTTCACAGGGCATGCAGCAGGCATGGGCTACCCCCAGTAACAGTGGTCATCTAGGGCTGATCACTCACAGGCAGAGCCATCGACAGAGAGCTGCAGCATCTAGAGGTCCCATCACCAGCCCCAAGACCCAGAGAGAAGTTGGCCTGAATGCCCCACTCTGTCTCTGCACCCCAGTGAGCCAGTGTCCAGGGGCCTTACCTTCCTCGTTAGAAGGCACAGGTCAAATGAGCTTCCAGAGCTGCAGAGCAAAGTCACATTCTCTCCATCATTACTTACTGCAGGGCACAGTTGAGCTGAGAAGGAAGGTCTCTTGTAGACGCCTGGGGAAAAAAATAGTCCTTGACTGTCGAGCACAAGCCTTACCCAGCCTATCCTCAGGGCATGAAAAAGGCATTCTCTCCACCTGTTCTGGGGAGCACACTCTGTTACCCACTCGTGCCTCTCTCCATCTCAGTTCTAGCTCTACAAGCTGGCTCATCATGTGTGTGTTTTCCTGTCTGTCTTTGCTCAGCTTTTCCTTGAATCTCTTGCTTTTTGCCGGTGCGTGTGTGGCTTTCTGCCCTTAGAACCATATGAGATTTAGGGTTCTCCTGGCACATAGAACTGTTTACTTTGAGGACCCTCAGAAAACATAGCCCTGGGCTAAGGCTCCCTGTCCTGGAACTAGAAGGTTATGGGTGTCACCATTTCCCAACAGCATGTCTGAAAGTGCCAGAATCTTCAAAGAGTCTGCAACATGTTTGTAGGATCTTTATAGGGTCTGATATTGCAGGGACCAACCAAAGTGCCCTCACACCCCAAGACGCTGGAAGTGACCCCTTGCTGAAAGTGGTTGGAAGTTTCACATAGAAGTTTGAGTTAAGCCACATTGCTGAGCAATGCCTCAGCATCCCAGTCTTCATCCAGACCTTCCAGGAGCCTGGCTGGAGGGGGTGTCTCTGGTGTGTCACTGAGCCTTATAGCAGAGGAAGGGGGCTATGGTGGAAACTACCTCCAAGATACCACTCAGTCCTAAGCTGGGGAACAAGCTGAGCTTGGATTCTGGTAGTGAATGAACCGGGAAACATTTATTTGAAGGGTTCTAAGAGTAGCATCGTGTGGGTGCGTTAATTGTATGTGAAGGGGAAGATCCTGAGAAAACAAGAGCTGCTCCACTCTGTGCCTGGGTTTACCAGAGGGACCGATGAGGTCCTCACAAGACCCAGGAATCCCACCGGGGGAAGGAGGCTTAGGGAGATGTGTTTAAGACTGTTAAGTGAGTCACAGACAGAAGCAGATCAAGCCATCCCACCACCTAGGTTTGTGGTTTTGTTTCTCCTAAACTTCCTTTCTGTAAGTAGCAGAACCTTCTCATCACCATCCTTCAAAACCTCTGCATTGTTTGAGCTCCTTGTATTTTCTGGAGATTAATCTCTTGCTTGCAAATATTCTTTCCCATTCTGTAGGTGGTCTCTTCACTCTGCTGTTTGTTTCCTTGATTGTGCAGAAGGTTTGCAGTTTGCTATGATCTCATTTGCCTATTTTTGCTTTTGCTGCCTGAGCTTTTGAGGGTTTTTTTTTTTTGTTTTTTTTTTTGAGACGGAGTCTCGCTCTGTCACCCAGGCTGGAGTTCAGTGGCATGATCTCAGCTCATTGCAACCTCCGCCTCCCGGGTTCAAGTGATTCTCCTGCCTCAGCCTCCCTAGTAGCTAGGACTACAGGCGAGTGCCACCACACCCGGCTAATTTTTGTATTTTTAGTAGAGGCAGGGTTTCACCACGTTTGGCCAGGCTGGTCTCAAACTCCTGACTTCAAGTGATCCACCCACCTTGGCCTCCCAAAGTGCTGGGATTACAGGCGTGAGCCACTGCGCCCGGCGTTGTATTGGATTTTTAATTCAGCCCTATTTTCTCCGACATTTGATATTGGCATTTTTGTCTTTTTTGGATATGCTAGGATCATGGTGTCATAATTTAATTTTAATTTTTATTTTTATTTTAAGTTCCGGGGTACATGTGCAGAATGTGTGGGCTTATTGCATAGGTCAATGTGCGCCATGGTGGTTTCCTGCACCTGTCAACCCATCACCTAGGTATTAAGCCCAGCATACATTAGCTATTTTTCCTAATGCTCTCCCTACCCCTACCCCACCCCCCCCCCGACAGGCCCCAGTGTGTGTTGTTCCCCTCCCTGTGTTCACGCATTCTCATTGTTCAGCACCCACTTGTAAGTGAGAACATGCAGCGTTTGATTTCCTGTTCCTGTGTTAGTTTCCTGAGGATAATGGTTTCCAGCTCCATCCATGTCCCTGCAAAGGACATGATCTTGTTTCTTTTTATGGCTTCATAGTATTCCGTGGTGTATATGTCTCACATTTTCTTTATCCAGTCTATCATTGATGGGCATTTGGGTTGATTCTATGTCTTTGCTATTGTGAATAGTGCTGCGATGAACACATGTGTGCATGTATCTTTGCAATAGAATGATTTATATTCCTTTGGGTATACGCGCAGTAATGGGACTGCTTTTACCTGTGCCAAAATACTGAAGTAGAAATGATTATTCACTCTAAAATGGAAGGTAATAAGATGTATACGTGAGCTATCAGATGCCTGGTGCTTATGAGTGAAGACAAGTCTGTCCAACGCTTCCCAACCCTGCATTCAGGGATGTCTCGTTGGCATCTTGATTATGGCCATGAAAAAAGAATTTACGTCAAGGAAATTGGTAAATGCCACTAATCATAGCATTTCAAAAAATGTCTTTTTCAGAATTAGCATACCATTGGGTCGTGACTTCAAATGCCAGTGTGTTGATTCCAGGTGGTGATATTTCAGGAGAAACTACACAGATAGCATCTGATAAGGAGGGAAGAGCTCATAGGGTCCACACAGGAGGTGAGGGCATCACGGTGCATTTATCTTTTCCTGGTCGGACTCTGATCTTCTCCCGTTGAATTAGTTCCTAAACCAGGTGCGGAACTCTGAACTGAAGACATGAAGACCCAGTAAAGTACACCAGGAAGTGTGGCAATGAGAAATGAAGAGGACTGTGTGACACGCCATGGACCAGAGCATGCAGGTGTGCAGAGGTGTGGACCCAACGCTGCCATGTGGGATGGAGCCTCATGTCTAAGTGTGGGAAAAGAGGCAGATCCAACCAAGGAAAGTCAACATTAATGGAGAGGAAAGGTATCACATTTTAATGGTTCTCCATGGATCACCCCAGAAAATGTCCCTGCACTCGGACATTGATTCCTTCCTCTGGAAATGACCAGCAGACAGTCCAGATAGCATCGGCCCTAGATTTTCTTCCAGAACCTCCTGGGATCATCAGATCTGTTCCTGAGGCTTCACGACTCTATAAAGTACATTATCCTCTCTGCTGTTCACCTCCCGGCTGCATCTTGGGAAGCTTCTCTGGCTGTGCCAAGCCTCAAATGACAGAATCCCGAGGACCACCAGGATCAAGCCAGCCACGCCCATGTGGATGAGATTCTCCACTGCGTAATCCTGAAGGTGTGAGGCTGGGGATGGTGGACAAAGAGGTCACAGAGGTCAGGGTGGATCAGATTGTCCACCCAGGGCACCCACCTCCCCTTCACAGGACCCAACCCTCAGTGCCAGCCCCATCACTGAGAGTATCTCCTCACATACCAGTCTCAGAGTCAGACTTGTTTTGTGATGGGCTGAGGGTATCAGCTGCTCCAGAGAATCAAAACAGAGAAAAAGAGACCTGAGCCCAGCCTCTCACCTGGGCTCTGCAATTTTTTTTTTATTACTTAATGTCTCATGATGTGACTTTTACAGAATTTCTAAAAAAAAAAAAAAAAAACCTCTTCCTCCGCTAGCAGGATTCCCTCTAGTCTCCTCATTGAACGATTTCAGTTTTCCTGTGTTCTATGGATTTAAACATTGCTCCTGAGTCATCTGGGAGAGAGTTTTCCTGCATCCTGAGAGCTCAGGATCTGCAAGGAAAGTGGTCCCCAGTACAGAGGTCACTAAGGCCTGTGTGCTCTCTGTGCAGCCTGGGACACAGGAGAACATGAGCCAACTCCCCCGGAGATGAGAGTTTCACGGATCCACCAGCTGAGGACCCAGGCTCCGTGGATGAGGGTTAGTCATCAGGGGAGCCTCAATGTCAGAAGCACAAAGGGGTGAAATTCTGGGGCTGCCTCCCCTTCATGCCCTCAGCCACTTCACCTGGAGTTTCATTGTCCATTTAATCTCTAGGTAGCTAATTATTCGTATAGGCAGCAACAGGTAGAATGTGATACACACACAGAAAAACACAAACACAAATATATATCTGTTTTATATATATAGTGGGCCTTAAAAACTATCTCTGCCTTCTTGAAGTGTGGGTTCACCTGGAGACAAACAGCAAACATATAGAAACACAGCAGTGGAAATTTACTAGTCGTAGCAATGGTTTTAGATATATTGGTAGAGACCTATATTTATGTGTGAATATATATTATTTGTATAGATATACGGATAACTAGGTTTCAATGTCACGTAAGATGTTGGTGTGACCACACACGCGCACACACACACACACACGTATATGCAGAGAGTGGAAGAGAGAGAGAAGGAATTCAGCCGCATGGTGTAGGTTGGTTAATTACTTGACATAAATGAGAAGCAGGCAGGACTGGGCTGAGCTGTGTCGTCAGTGAAGGTCACACTTGGAGGTGACATTGAAGCTGATTCCTCAATAGGAAAAAGGGCCAGGAAGGAGGCGTGTGGAGACCCAGACAGGGAGCAACAGAGGCTCCAGAAAGAGCAGGTCCCAGAAAGGTCTCAGCCTGTTCTTCAGAAAGGAATGGCCGCTTGTCTACAGGGTGGAGGAGGAGGCAGAGGAGGAGGGGAGATGAGCTTCGGGGCCTTGGTGGATTGAGAATAGGCCAGGATGAACCGGCCAGGAAAGAGCGGCCCCAATATCTCTCTCTCTGTCTCTCTGTCTCTGTCTCTGCCTCTCTCTCCCTCCCTCTGAGGTCTGGAAAGTGCTGTAGGGTTTCAAGGAGTGGTACCAGTCATTTGACTTTTTCTGAAAAGATAAGCCCTACCCCCTCCATAGCAAATGTCCAGAACGAAGGAAGTCCACATTTCTACCTGAAGTTTACAAAACCTCAGGGAGCACGTGAGATCAGGGCTATTACGAAACCGGGTGAGAATAAAAATAGGTGATGCTGCAAATCTACTTTCACCAGCTTGGACAAAAAGGCCAATATGAGATTTTAAAAACCCAAATAAAAAATGTCAACGGCGCAGAAGAGGAGCGGTGCACATTCCCTGAGCTGCTGCGGGAGCACGTGCAAGTCCCTGTGAGGCTCAGGTGTGCGCTGAGTGCTGGGGAGGCTGCAGGGGAAAGCAGGAAGTGGGGCGGGGTGGGGGGGGGTCGGGGGTGGATGCAGGTGGCACCGGCAGCCTGGATGCTTCTCTCTCCAGGAGGGCGTCTGTTGGGGACTGGGACACAGAGGCTCTGATTCTGAGGTGGAGACACCAGGATGGGAGCAGGTGGGGCCTCCGTCTTCCACCCTCAGTCTAATCTCAACTCCTTTGAGGTTCACCCCCCGTCTCCTCCCAGCCCTCCCTGCACTTTACTCTACTGAGACTTCAGGGGTGGGAGCCAGGGGTGGGAGGTCCCTGTCTATTTCCATCTTCCCATGGGCTGGACCCTCCCCTGCGGACCCTCTCCCTTCACTCCCCTCTTTCCTTAGTGTCCAGAGCTCTGCTGGGGGCAGGGCCTGAGCTGAGCCTTTGAGCTCAGAGAGGACAGGGTCAGCGCCCTCACCTGAGACCACGAGCTCCACGGGGCCACTGGGGTGAGACAGCAGGTAGGGGTCGGAGCTGAGTGAGCCGTAGCACCTGTAGGTCCCCGTGTGGGCTGAGGTCACAGGACTCATGGGGAATTC